>NW_003315939.2:0-169178 GCF_000001405.40 Homo sapiens | reverse complement strand
CATTGGGCAAGAAAACATGATGATAGACATTAAAAAGTTACTTGTAATTGAACAATATTTGTTAGAATTATAATGCTTATTCTTGATGTTACTCTTCCTCCATTTCTTGATCTCATCACTGCTTAGATTCTCCAAAATCTTGCTTCATAAATTTGTCCTGTTTTGCAGCTTAATCTTGTCTTTTATTTTTTTCCCCTGCTCCTAAGGAACCCCATTCCCCACCTCCCTAAACAAATCAACAAGCCTTTCAATTCTACTGCTTTTTATACCTCCTCTTCTTATATTCATTGGCCAATTGTTTAAAGTCATCAGTGATTTCCTTAATCATCAAATCCAATGAACTTGGACCCTCCTTGATGGCTTGCTGTCTCTGTAGTATTTGACAATATTGACAGAACTTTCCTTCTTGAAACCCGGAATCTTAGTTCCTATGAAACCCACTCTCCTGATGTTTCTCTTAGCTTTCTGATGACTTTTTCTCTGTTTACTTTGTTGGTTTTTCTTCTTCACCTTCTTTATATGTGGGTGATTCTCAAGGTTCTGGCTTCAAACTGTTTCACTATTCACTCTTTTTTTTTTTTTTTTGGCAGTTTCAAATACTTTCAAAAGAAGGGTATACACTTTTTTTTTTTTTTTTTTTTTTGAGACAAGAGTCTCACTCTGCTGCCCGGGCTGGAGGGCAGTGGCTGCCTCCCCTGCTCAAGTGATTCTCTTGCTTCAGCCTCCCATGTAGCTGGGATTACAGGTGTGCGCCACCACACCCGGCTAATTTTTGTATTTTTGGTAGAGACGGGGTTTTGTCATGTTGGCCAGGCTGGTCTCAAACTCCTGACCTCAAGTGATCCACGTACCTCAGCCTCCCAAAGTGCTGGGATTACAGGTGTGAGCCACCACACCCAGCCTACATCTTCTATTTAACTGCTTCTGATCAGTTCCTCTCCCAACACCTGTGTGATCTAATCCTAACTGTCCACTATCTAGAAAGACAGAGCTTAACTTCTTAACTTCTTCTAAAAAGATCTTTCCCTTCTGAATCCCATGGTACTTTTTTTTTTTTAATGGCACTACTTTAAAACTTGCATTAGCTCCTTATGTGTTAAGACTTGTCTTACTTTCTGGCCTATAAAGTCGCTTTTCCTTTTTCTTTTTTTTTTTTTTTAAGGAGATGGGGCCCCTGCTCTATAAACTTCTTTAAGAAGATTTTCTTCTTTTTAAACTTTTATTTTAGGTTTGGGGGTACACATGAAGGTTTGTTGTAAAGATTATTTCATCACCCACGTATTAAGCCTAGTACCCAATAGTTATTTTTTCTGCTCCTCTGCATGCTCCCACCCTCCACCCTCAAGCAGACCCCAGTGTTTCTTGTTCCCTTAAGATTTTCTAATTCAACTCTGCATCTCCTATACTGTAAAGCACAGTGTTTTGTATTTTTTCATTTGTTTTTTCAACATACATAAGCACTGACTATGTATTGTGCTAGGAGCTGGGTAAGTGGTTAAAAAAAACCCCGTGCTTTCTGCCCTCAGACAGTTTAGAGTCTCGTGAAAATACATATTGTGATATATAATCAATAAAACTTTATTGAAAGAATGAATCTTACATCTTAAACTCCTTTTTCATCTTCTTTCCCCAAACTCCTGACCTACATTCCTGCGCCCTTTCCCCTGATAAATCCCACAGATTTCTCAAATCCAGCAGCTGAATTGGATTCATGTGCTATGGATACACATAAATAAGTTTGCCCCATGTTCAAGAAACTCACAATAAAGCACCTTCTCTCCCCAAACCTTCTGCTGATTTTAGTATCAATGTTACTAACTCCTTCTTATTACCAAGGGGAAATCTTGGTATTCTTTTTGACTTCTTCCTCTTTTTCATATTTAATTCTTTAATTCAAGCAATTATCCCTCTTGTTGAGGTCCTTTCACCTATAGCAGAGGTTGAAAATTAGTGACCCACAAATTGTATCTAGCTAGTAGAGGTGTTTTGTTTTGTATAATATTATCAAAAATATGATTTTCCTGTTTCTCCTGAAAAATCAGGCAACACTGAGTCCTTATTTTTGCAAGAATTGGCTGGAGTTTTAGATGGGACAGCTCAATCAACTCTAACATTCCAATCTCTATCACTCCTTGCTTTTGTCACATTCAGTCCATTTCCTCACTTATGAAACTTTCTTAGTCCCTAATTTAGGCATCTGAGTTTGCCGTCTCTGGCCTATATGATCATAGACTGTCAGTAGTGGAAGAGATATTAAAAGATCAACTCGTCTAACAGTCTCCTGCTTCCTCTCCCCACTCTTTAAGAGACGGAGAAATGAGGTCTAAAGAGCTTACATTACCCAATCAATTTCATACAGCTAATGTGTAACAGGATTCTATAATATGCCATTAGGCCTCCTCCCTCATACGGATCATGTTAAACTTATATTTTCCCTTTGGTTTAATTGCTAGGAACCTCAGAGCCCAATTTGTGGCACCCCTCTAGTAAATACACGGACCTTTTGGTATGAAGTTTTGGGGTATTAATATACCCCTGGCTTTATTTTGTTTTCCAATTACCTTTACCTCAGTTTCTCTTCATCATTTTCTCCTATTATAGTGTGTATTTTTTTTCCCCAAGCATACTCAATCTTTTGTGAAAGAGGTACATCCGTACAGGCGTAAACTGTCGGGCTGTATTGTCTGGCTCCCAATTTCTTTCTTTCACTGTCATTCTGCTTTGGCTACTCACATTCTCTGTTTTCCTTGACAGCCAAACTTCTTGAAAGAATTGTCTTCACATGCTGTGTCCACTTCATCCTGTCTTTTCAATTCACTGTAAACAGATTTAAAGCCTTCAATGCCTTCTTTGTTGCTATGATATTAATACCAAAATTATATTGTATTCATCCATATATGAAGGACACAAAATGGTTTTCCCTAAATTATCTCAACTATGAAAAAATATGCAGAGAAAAAAATTAATAGGTAATGCATGAAAATGTTACTTCTGGGTAGCTGGATGACTGGTGAGATTTATTTTCTTTTAAAAATTTTCCACAGTTTTAAAAACAAGCGCATTAGAACACATCCCGATGTAAATTAGAAATTCTCAACTTACATTTTCTAAAAGGAGGCAGAAAACTAGAGAAGCGACAGTGAGGAGCCACTGGGCCACACTTCATTTCACCTTAAGACTGACTCAGAGAAAAACAAGAGGGTACGACTCAGATCCCCGGGGCCAGCAGCAGGGCCGCGGGGCACGACTGGATAACCGCTTGTGAAGAAAATTTTAAGAGAGCCCTCACGACCCTTTAGCGCATCCTAAAAGACCTCTGAATATCTCTGCCTCTCCCGCTAACGGCTCCAAACCGCAGATAACGGTCAATCGCCTCCGGTTGTCCTGGTAACAGCCAGCAACCACAACCCTGCCTGCGTAACTCCTCCCAGAACACCGTGCGTCTTATCGCTTCACTTCCGGGTTCGGAGGGCCGACTTCTTCCGGAAGTATCTGCCTGCCAGTCACCTGGCGTTTTCTGGCTGTGTGGCTTTACTAGACAGAATGTGGCGTATTGTTGGGCAGGGCCCTGAGGACCCTTTTGTTGTTTCCCCCCCGTTTAACAGGACTGGAAAGCTAAGCAAAGGCTTTACTCTCACGGAATTGGATGAATTGGACGTTAGTTTTTAAAAAGCCGAAGGGTACATGTTAGCTTTATTTAACCATTCCACAATGTATATATATTTCAAAACATGTTTTATACTATAAATATAATTTTTATTTGTCAACTAAAAAACAGCATTAAGTGTTAAAAGCTGTTAAGTCAGAATATAGAGATGAATCTTTGAAATTAGAATGCTTTATTTGGGAAGAAAATAGTAATTTGGGGCATATATGTAGACTGGGGTGGTCTTCGGGATGTCTGAAGAGTGAAGAGGTTAGAGACTTTATAAGAAGGAGAAATGTTACGTATTGGTCTCCAAGAGAGTTTATTGGCACTATTAATGTTTTGGTGGGGTTGGCAAACTGATTGCTGAGTGACGGTGGTGGGTAAAATTAGTCTTAGAATTGTAGCAGACTGTCTTAGTAGCCTTTAGATTAAATTGGTTTTAAGTGTTAGCAGGCAGTTTCAGCAGCCAGGCCTGTAGAGAATTATATTTTTCAAGTGATATTTGTGACCTGAATGTTTTTTCCCTCTGGCCTCTCCACTCTTTAACTGGTATGACAAAAGTGACCCGATTTATATGATCAACTTTCACAGCTGACAGGTGGTAAACTCTTTACAATTATATGTAATTTATTTGTTACTGTGATAGATTTATACAATTTTAAATAATTTAGTTCCCATTAAAAAAGCAATTATTTTTGCTTTAGAAAATGAAGGCCAAAAAAACCCCCAAAACACAAAACCTCCAAATCCTACCCATTTAAGGACAACCAATGTGAATACTTTGTAGGAGTCTTCCAGACCCTTTCTATGAATTATAGTAAGTACAAATTCAAAATGGAATCATACTGTATATGCTAGTTTGGAACTTAAAAAACTTTTTTTTTTTTGAGACAAAGTTACTGTGTTGCCCAGGCTGCAGTGTAGTGGCCCGATCTCGGCTTACTGCAACCTCTCCACCACCTGGGCTCAAGCAATTCTCCTGCCTCAGTCTCCTGAGTAGCTTGGGATTATAGGCGGCGCCACCACACCCAGCTAATTTTTGTATTTTTAGTAGAGATGAGGTTTCACCATGTTGGTCAGGCTGGTCTCGAACTCCTCATCCCAAGTGATCTGCCTTCCTCGGTCTCCCAAAGTGCTGGGATTACAGGCATGAGCCACCCGCGCCCAGCCTGAATTTTTTTTTTTTTTGAGCTGTTGTCTTGCTCTGTCGCCCAGGCTGGAGTGCAGTGGCGCGATCCCAGCTCACTGAGGCAGGAGAATTGCTTGAACCCAGGAGGCAGAGGTTGCAGTGAGCCGGGATGGCGCCACTGCACTCCAGCCTGGGCGACAGAGCAAGACTCTGGCTCAAAAAACAAAAAAACAAAAAAACAAAACAAAACACCCAAAAACTTTTAATGAACATATTTTGTTTAAAAAAGACACTTAACATGGTTGTATATATTCCATTATACCTCTTGTTGGATATTTAAACAATTGATGTCTTCCCCTGCCGCCCCTTTTTTTTGAGGAGGAGGTGTCTTGCTGTATCACACAGGCTGGTCTTGAACTTCTGGGCTCAGGCAGTCCTCCTGCCTTAGCCTCCCAAATAGCTATGATTACATGCCACTGGCCTGGCCATTTTTGCTCTCAATTAGTGCTGCAATGGAGAAATGAAAATCCTTATAGCTAAATCTTTGCCCTTGCTCTAATTTCTTTGTGGTAATTCTTTTTCTTTTTAAAACTCATTTGTATTTGCTGTTCATTATCTCTTCCTTAATGTGTTTTTATTCCATACCTATGTCTTTATACTGTATACAGATGAAGTTACACATGGCATCCAAAGCCCACTTGATTTTTTAAAGTTTATTTTTCTGATTATAAAGGTAATACATGCTTATTGAGGAACATTAGAAAATTTCAGGAGAATGTAACAAAAAAATTCCAATACCTAGACAACCATTGATACTGTGGTATGAATTTTTTTCCATCTGTTTCTTCAACAATGAGTATTGAAACAGTTTTAGCTAATTTAGTAAGGAAATGTTGCAGCTTTTGGTTTGTACGTTTTTACTTATTCCTGTAGCTGAAGGGTATTGCAAATAGTATCCAGAAATAAAGCCACATACCTACAACCAACTGATCTTAGACAATGACAACAAAAACATATAATGGGAAAAGACACTCTATTTAATAAATGGTGCTACACAAAGTGGATAGACATGCAGAGGAATGAAACTGCACCCCTTTCTTTCACCATATACCAAAATTAACTCAAGATGAATTAGAGTTAAATTTAAGACCTGAAACAATAAAAACCCTAGAAGAAAACCTAGGAAAAACTCTTGTGGAGATTGACCTAGGCAAATAATTTATGAGCAAGTCCTCAAAAGCAAATGCAACAAAAACAAAAACAGACAAATGAGTTTCATTAAGCTAAAAAGCTTCTGCATAGTAAGATAAAGAATCAAATAACCTACAGAATGGAAGAACATATTTACAAACTGTGCATCCAACAAAGGACTAATATCCAGAATCTACAAGGAACTCAACCAGAAAAAACTAAATAACCCTATTCAAAAGTGGGCAAAAGACAGGAATAGACATTTCTCAAAAGAAGACATACAAGTGGCTAATAAACATGATAAACTTCTCAACATCACTAATCATCAGAGAAATGCAGATTAAAACCACGGTGAGATACCATCTTGCACCAGTCAGAATGACTATTATTAAAAAGTCAAAAAACAACCCGATATTGATGAGAATTCAGAAAAAAGAGATTGCCTATACACTGTTGGTGGGAATGTAAATTAGTACAACCTCTGTGGAAACTAGTATGGAGATTTCTCAAAGAACTAAAAATAGAACTACCATTTGACCCAGCAATCTCACTACTGGCTACCCAAAGGAAAACAAATTGTGACTGGGTGTGGTGGCTCATGCTTGTAATCCTAGAGCTTTGGGAGGCTGAGGCAGGAGGATCACTTGATGCCAGGAGTTTGAGACCAGCCTGAGCAATATAGCAAAAAACCTCCATCTCTACAAAAAATTAAAAAGTTAACCAGACATGATGGTGCATGCCAGTAGTTCTAGCTACTCGAGAGACTGAGGTGGTAGGATTGCTTAAGCCCAAGAATTCAAGGCTGTGGTGAGCTATGATTACGCCACTGCACTCCAGCCTGGGTGACAGAGCAAGAACCTGTCTCTGAAAAAGAAAAAAAAAAGAAGAAATTGTTATGACAAAAAGACAAAGACATAGAATCAACCATTAACCTAAGTGTCCACCAACAGATGGTTAAAGAAAATGTGGTTATGCATACACCACGGAATACTATGCAGCCATAAAAATAATGAAATCATGTCTTTTGCAGCAACATGGATGGAGCTGGGGGCCATTATCCTAAGTGAAATAACTCAGAAGCAGAAAATCAAACACCCCATGTTCTCACTTATAAGTGGAAGCTAAAGACTGAGTGCACGTGGACATACAGAGGGGAATAATAGACACTGGGGACTCCAAAAGTGGGGAGAGTGGGAGGGGAAGGGTGAGGGTTGAAAAATTAACTATTGGGTACAATGTTCACTGTTTGGGTGATGGGTACACTAGAAGCCCAGACCTCACCACTACACAATATATCTGTATAATAAACCTACACATAAACCACCTGAATCTATGTATTAAAAAAGAAAGCATGAAAAAAATCCAAATAGTATTTCAAATGTATATAGGCTATGGTCCATTTCTAGGCATATCTAGCCTGCCTTCAGTATTCCAAACTAATCACACTGAATTGTAATGGCTTAGTTTTCCATATGTGTGTTTTAGTTCAATAACTGGATTGAAAGCTAGTTGTGTGGTCCTAGATAAATTATTGAATTTTGCTGAGCCCACTTTATCTGCAAATTAGAGATAATACTTACTTTGCAGGGTTGTAGTGAGGATTGGAAATAATGTATCCAAGGTGAATTTAATTAAAAAGTAGTTACTTTTTTTTTGACTTCTGGCTTTAATAGTCTATGTACATAGGAGTTGTTTGTATTTTTATAATATTCCAGATGAATGACTATCCTAGCATCCCACTCAATTTAGATATTGAGCATCTATGACACATAAAGCACTGTTCATAACCCTAAAGGCCTGCTGAGCCTATATTTTTCAGATATGTTTCTTACATAAACCACATGCTGCTCTTCATCTTTAGCAATTTTCTTAGTCATGTGTTTCCTCAGTCTCTTACACCTTGCCTGGCCCATCATAGTAGGTGCTGAATAAATGTGTGAGCTGAGTGGAATAATTTAGTAGGAAAAGAGAAACACACAAATTGGATAAAACCTGGCAGGCTACGATGAAAATGATTAACAGGTACAAAGTGCTTTGTACATTGGGAGATCAGGAGACATTAATTTTGATTAAGGTATCTGGGAATGCCCTGTGGAGTAGGCAGATTTGACCTGGGCCCCAATCATAGGGGCTGAGGCAAGGAGCTTAAAGATGGAAATGACAGTATGAGTTAAGGCTGAGAGGTAGAAGTAAACAGGGTGCGCTTTGTTATCAGGGAGTTATTGGTGGGGGGTGGGGCAGAAGAGTAGGGTAAACGAATGGGTACAGGTGGGAAGAAAAAATGTAGTTGGTTCCTACATTTTGAGGATTTTGATGTGACTAGTCATTCTTTATAGTTTTAAAACGTTTCTGAAAAACACTGCTTTCAATATGGCCAGAGGCATCTTTGGGCAGAGTGGATCTGAGGGATGGCAGGGGTCGGGAAAGTGGCGGGCCAGAAATGACAACTGGCTTGCCCCGGAAGAAGGCAGGGAGTGGGAGGATGGCCGAGACCTTCGGCGGCACAAGAGCAGTTAGTGGCCAATATTCGCCCCGAGGTGAGGAAGGAGTGTCTGCGAGGAGGCGGGACACCCTTAGAGCTCAGCAGGCAGCAGGAAGCTGCAGAACAACGCTTATAAAGACATGTCACCCACACTGGGAGGGCAGCAGCGAAATCCGCGGCAGCCGGGTTGTTACAGCCTTTGAGGGAAGTCGCAAGACCCAGCTCCGCCCAACAGCATCGGGCCCCGCGCCCCGCCCCATGCCCTCGCCCCGCCCCTCATCCCTCGCCCCGCCCCTCGCCTCTCGCCCCGCCCCTCGCCTCTCGCCCCGCCTCCCGCGCTCCCCGTCAGGTTCAAAGCCCCCTCCCGCCTAACGTCTTCAGCCCAGCCAGGCTGCCCTTCTTCCCTGCGGAGGGAGGGCCTGGGCGGTCGCGTTGGCGGGAGGGAGGTTACCTTTCCCAGTCTCGCTCTGGCCGCCTGAGCCAGGAGGAAGCAGCGGCGAGGTCTGCGGGAGGCATGGCGGGAGCTCCGGACGAGCGCCGGCGGGGCCCCGCGGCAGGGGAGCAGCTGCAGCAGCAACACGTCTCTTGCCAGGTCTTCCCCGAGCGTCTGGCCCAGGGGAATCCCCAGCAAGGGTTCTTCTCCAGCTTCTTCACCAGCAACCAGAAGTGCCAGCTTAGGCTCCTGAAGACGCTGGAGACAAGTAGGAGCCATGACCTGGAGGCTGTGGTTCCACAGAATGGGTCTGAGACCGGGTGGGCGAGGAAGGGCCTGGGCAACACCTGGCCAGGGGCTTCAGGTTCAGCACAGAGTCTAGACAGACTGGGCATCATGGGGGCTGGGTTGGGAGCCTGAGGCTCAGTTTCCCCACTAGAGGTGGCGCTGAGACCCTTTTCGTCGCTGTTTTTGGCTTGTGGAATGAATTTGTCTGCCCTTTTTTGTCACTCACTGTTGTGACAGATCCTCCGATTTCTTACATAAGTTATGCAGCCACACTGTGACTTCAGGGTAAGGGTGAGGCCAAGTTTTAAAGTGCCAGCCAGGTTAATTAAGGCACACAAAGGCTGTAAAAATGTAAAAATGTAATTAAGGCATACCAAGGCTGTAAAAATATAAAAGCAGTTTTGCAAACCTACCGTTCCTTGGAAGTGGTTCATGCATGAATGGGCTTCAGAGCGTAGAAATCCCTGAAATGGTCTGTGAAATCGTGTGTATGTGTGTGTGTGTGCCCCTAAGTGCATTTTTTTTTTTTTTTTGAGACGGAGTCTCGCTCTGTCGCCCAGGCTGGGGTGCAGTGGCGCGATCTTTGCTCACTGCAAGCTCCGCCTACTGGGTTCACGCCGTTCTCCTGCCTCAGCCTCCCGAGTAGCTGGGACTACAGGCGCTCGCCACCACACCCTGCTAATTTTTTGTATTTTTAGTAGAGACGGGTTTTCACCGTGTTAGCCAGGATGGTCTTGATCTCCTGACCTCGTGATCTGCCTGCCTCGGCCTCCCAAAGTGCTGGGATTACAGGCGTGAGTCACTGCGCCCGGCCCAAAGTGTATTTTTTTTTGGTCGGGGGAGAGAGTTAATAGCTTCATCATATTCTCAAAGAGGCCAACGACCCCACAAAGGTTAAGAACTGCTGTGGGTTAAACAGGGACACAACTGCCCATTGACAAATTTCTCTCCCGTCCCAGAGACATTGCACTAGAGAAGATTTCTTAATTCCTTTACATTGACATAGACTTCTTAAGTTTACTTTCAGATACATTCAGAAAATTAGTCTTAAACATACTTGTCCCAAAGCAAGGTTACTATTTCATAGCTAGTCAGTCACAGTTCAAAAGTCAACCACCGAAAGATTTTCCAACCTTCTTGGGATTACCTGCTTGTAGAGACTCAGGGAGGTAGGAGGAGGAAGGGGAGTTGAGGGTAAAAGGGGAGAGAATGATGATATTGTATTTACTGTACAAATATGTATTGAGTGCCTCCCAGGTTCTGGTGGGGGAAGTAGAAAGATGAGTTAGCACCCTGCCTTGAAGGTGCTTCAAAGTGGAATAGAGTGGAAAGAGTATGGGTTGCAGAGTTAGATGTGGGTTCAAATGCGGATCCCTTTCCTCAGGTGTGGAAGGTGACTTAACTTCTCTGATCCTCACTATCCTTATTGTAAAAAAAGAGAAGGGGAAAATACCTTTTTTAGGGTTGTTGTGAAGAATAGATTTTATGGGGCTGGGTACGGTGGCTCATGCCTGTAATCTCAGCACTTTGGGGAGCCAAGGCAGGGGGATTGCTTGAGCTCAGATGTTTAAGACCAGCCTGGGTAATATAGGGAGACCCTGTCTCTACAAAAAATAAAAAAAATTAGCTGGATGTGGTGGCTCATGCCTGCAGTCCCAACTATTTAGGAGGCTGAGGCAGGAGATTTGCTTGAACCCAGGAGGCTGAGGCTGCAGTGAGCTGTTATTGCATCACTGCACTCCAGCCTGGGCAACAGAGCGAGACCCTGTCTAAAAAAAAAAAAAGTACTGATTTTATGAATGTAAAGTACCAGCATATCAGGAGCTGAGCTGAATAAATGGTAGCTGTTTTTACAGTGGAAGGGCCACACAGTGGAGGAAGAGTGGAAATAGATAGGATGTGAGGAAGGTGGGGTGCTGAACATGAGCCCCAGTAGGAATCAATGGACCTTGATCTTCCAAGGGCAGGGTGGCTGGGAGGGTCTTTTGGTGGTATTAAAGTGTCAACCTGCAGCTTTAAAATGCTATCCCTGGGTGGGGCGTGGTGGTGGAAACCAGACCTCATGGGAGTCTCTTTTTTTTTTTTTTTTTTCACCAAAGCAATTTTATTCTAAATATTGCTGCAGGTCCTTTTTGAAGTACTAAACCATGGTTTTTTTTTTTTTTAAGTACAAGGACTACAGACTTTTGAAACTGTTTTAATTTTGTAAAATTCTCCTAGTTGCATGAATAATAATGTGCTTAATATGGTGCCTGCTACCTGGTATTCACTCAATAATACGTATTGTTAACAATAATTATTCTACTGTGAACACTCTTGCAAGGGGCAGGTTGGTAAAGCAGTAACCTATACCTGACTTTCTCATCTCACATTTCTTTTTCTCACCTATTTTTGCCTTCAACATTTTTTTTAAACCTTAGTTTCTTTTTCACTTTTTTTGGGTTACATCATATAATTGGCTGTGCATTTATATTCTCAGACAAGATGCCTATGTGAAAAGTTAATATCAGAGGCATTTGGGCTCCTTGTACTTTCCTGTAGTAGTCACGGGCCCATAGAGTCTTAGATGTGGAAGGGCCCTCAGGAATCGTCTAGGCCTCCCCGTCCCCTTACAGGGAAACCTCTGTGCTATTGCTGGCCAGATACTCTACAGACCTCTCCTGGAATACAGTTACCTGTTCCTTGAGGCTCTTTCAATCTACTGTCTATTGTTTCACCAGCTTTAATTGTTGGAGAAAAATCCTTTCTCATACTGAGCTGAAATCTGCCACATGTAACTTCCATACTTTGGTCCTTGTTCTGCCCTTTGAAGAAATATTAACTGAATCTAGTCCCACATGGCACCCCTTCAATACTTGAAAGTAGTGTGGTCCTAGTTAAGTCTTCTGTCTCCTTTCCAACCCCCCAAATCCTTTCTTGCTTCTTACTGGAAATAGTCTGTAGTACCCTAGTCACCATCCCCTGTGGAAGAGCTTCAGTGGCAGGTCCAATTTAGAAGGTGGTAGTACTCAGCATGGGACATGGTATTGCCGGTATGATCTGATCAGGACAGAACAGTGTGGCTACTGGCTTCCTCAAATCTAGGTACTGTGCTGTTGTTCACTTCTAAGAATGTGGCCCTAGATTCCCTCAGTCTTTTGGTATATACCGTAATACAACGTGTTTGATCATTTAACTAAAAATGAACTTTAAAAGCATAGTTGATATTGTCTAAGATGCTTAGTAGTACCATCTTGGTATTTGTATTAGTGTTTTATTTCAGTACAAACTTGCTTTGATGTTGATTTAAGCTTGGCCTCTCATGTCAATTTTTACCAATTTTAAGATAACATTACTTTTTTTTTGAGACAGAGTCACTCTATCGTCCAGGCTGGAGTGCAGTGGTGTGATCTCAGCTCACTGTAATGTCTGTCTCCTGGGTTCAAGTGATTCTCATGCCTCAGCTTCCCAAGTAGCTGGGACTACAGGCGTGTGCCACCATGCCCAGCTAATTTTTGTATTTTTAGTAGAGACGGGGTTTGCCATGTTGGTCAGGCTGGGCTTGAACTCCTGGCCTCAAATGATCCACCCGCCTCAACCTCCTAAAGTGCTGGGATTACAGGCATGAGCCACTGCATCTGGCCTGTGAGTTACTTTTTGATAATATCTTACACTGCTATTTGGGTAGTTTAATTGGTGCTACTTTTCCAATTACTTAATTAAATCAATATCTTTTTTAGATCCATATGTCAAACTTCTGCTTGATGCTATGAAACACTCAGGTTGGTAAGTAACTCTTTTTGAAGTGCTGCTCTGAGGTCTGGCTGCTGAAAACAAAAACCAAGTTCTCTTCTTAAGAGAACTGCTTAAGATTTCTCTGAGGTCACAAAGTCTTTTCCATAGGGTAAATAGAGGTAATTGGCTGCATTGTCTCCGGGCTGGCCTTGTTCTCTTTGGACATTTTCTGCCCTAACTCATGTTTTTTTTTTTTTTTGGGGATAGAGTCTCGCTCTTGTTGTCCAGGTGGGAGTGCGTTGGTGCTGTCTCGGCTCAGTGCAACCTCCGTCTCCCAGGTTCAAGCAATTCTTCTCCCTCAGTCTCCCAAGTAGCTGGGTTTACAGGCGCACGCCACCATGCCCGGCTAATTTTTGTATTTTTAGTAGAAATGGGGTCTTAGCATGTTGACCAGACTGGTCTCGAACTCCTGTCCTCAAGTGATCCACCCACCTCGGCCTCCCAAAGTGCTGGGATTACAGGTGTGAGCCACTGCGCCAGCCCAGCTCATTTTCTAGTTCTTACCATTCACCTTGGGTGATTAATAAAGACAGTACTCAAAATTTTCTTGTAAGTAATTACCAAGCCTGGCCTTTCTGCTACACCAGCCTGAGCACTGTTTTTAATGGAAAAGAAATCTCAGCTTGTTATGTAGGAACCTTGCAGATGTTGTATAACTTTGAGGGGTTTAAAGGAAGTGACTTCTGACATCCACTTCTTAACATTCTGGCCCAAGGGCAGGAACTCCAGCATACTTGCAATATGGCCATAATCAGTTGAACAAATTTTTTTTTTTTTTTTTTTTTTTTGAGACGTAGTTTTGCTCTTTTTTTTTGCCCAGGCTGGAATGCAGTGGCACGATCTCGGCTCACCGCAACCTCCGCCTCCCGGGTTCAAGAGATTCTCCTGCCTCAGCCTCCTGAGTAGCTGGGATTATAGGCGCCCACCACCACCCGGCTAATTTTGTATTTTTAGTAGAGATGGGGGGTTCTCCATGTTGGTCAGGCTGGTCTTGAACTCCCGACCTCAGGTGATCCACCTGCCTCGGCCTCCCAAAGTGCTGGGATTACAGGCGTGAGCCACCGCGCCTGGGGGACAAATGTTTTATGGAATCATATCTATAGAATTTGAACTAGAATGGATTTTGTGTACAACCTCCTTATTTTACAGGTGAGATAACAGTCCTGAAGATGTTGTTTCTTTCCCAAGATTTCCTATGTGTTAGTAGTAGAGGGGATTTACTATATGGTGGAGGGTCTCCTGAGCCCTGGCCCAGGGCTGTTTGCCACATACACACTGTTTCTGGACATTGTCTCCTTTTCTTGCCTTTTAGTGCTGTTAACAAAGATAGACACTTTTCTTGCGAAGACTGTAATGGAAATGTCAGTGGAGGTTTTGATGCTTCAACATCTCAGGTAGGCATTATTGCCAAATTGTTTCCTTCCCTTTAATCCTCTCTCTTTATATTTTTTGAGCATCTTCCACATGCTCGGCATTCTGTTTGGTAGACTTTATGTAGGACTAAAAAAGTGAATTAGTTATCCTTACTCTAAGGAGTTTACTCTTAAAATCTCTTAAGGAGTTTACAGCCTTACAGGAAAGATAAGACATGAACACAGATAATTATAAAATGAGGCAAGCTAAACCATTTTAGGTGGGCTTGGTTACCACAATGGAACAGTGATGTGATCGATTGAAAGATGCCAACAGATTCGACTAGAGGATATAAAGCCTCCTTAGGGGCAGAGCAGGGACAGAGCAGGGGCAGCATGAGCAAAAGTGCATGCTACGAAACTGCATGGCATGTGTAGGGAATGGCATATTGTCTAGTTTATCTGGAGGGCAGGAACATGTGGGGAATGAGGGAAAATAGGATTGGAAGGAAATGTAAGCCCTATGGTGGGAGGTTTTGAATGCTAAATTAAAGGGTTTTTACCTTTACGTGGTGAGAATTGATACTGCCTGTGAAAATTTTTTATTAGGGGAGTTTTCTAATCTGTACAATTTGGGCAACGATTGTATCTATTTTATGGAATGATTATGAGAATTAAATGAGATATCTCTTATAGAGTTGCTTATCTTAGTGCCTGGCCCATAGTAAGCATTCAATAAATTTTATTATTAGTTTTAAGTCATCAGAGAGTTTCGACAGAGTCTTGGAGGTGGTAGATAATGTCATGTGATCAGGGTAAATGATGGTGTTATAAGTAACTGTTTCCCACTTGAATGTATAATTCATACTTAACTACACTTAACTGTTTCCTGCTGGATAATTTTGTATGTATTTAGGTTATTTATAGCATTTTTACAGTAATCATGTGAAGTGGCAATATAGAACAAGGATGAGAAGTCTAGATTTTGGAGTCAGACTTGAGTTCAAATCCTAGTTTCCTTGCTTATTATCTGTGGGGCTTGGGCAAGTTATTTTTCTTCTTCTCAGTTTCCTCATTTGTAAACTGGTAATCACAATACCTATAGCTCTCAAAATGGCTCTGGATAAGTTCACTCCCTTCTCGGTCCCCCCAGGGTTAAACAGAGTGCACATCTTGAACTTTCATCCTAATTCTCAGCAGTGTTGAACACAGTTGGGCACCCTCTCCTTTTATTTTATTATTATTTTTTAAATTATTATTATTTTTGAGACAGAGTCTTACTCTGTCACCCAGGCTGGAATGCAGTGGTGCAATATGGGCTCACTGCAACCTCTGCCTCCTGGGTTCAAGTGATTCTCCTGCCTCAGCCTCCTGAGTAGCTGGGATTGCAGGCATGTGCCACCATGCCCAGCTAATTTTTGTATTTTTAGTAGAGTCAGGGTTTCACCATATTGGCCAGGCTGGTCTTGAACCCCTGACCTCAGGTGATCCACCCATCTTGGCCTCCCAAACTGCTAGGATTACAGGCGTGAGCCACTGTGCCTGGCCTATTTTTTTAAATGAAAATTTTTATTATGAAGTATCTCATTCATACAGAAGAGTAAAACATCTATATGTACACTTTCAGTAATAATAAAGTGCACACCTATGTAACCACCACCCAGACTAGAGAAAAAGAACATTACTAGGACTTCAGAAGCCTTCGTGGTCCTCTTGAATCAGGTCCTTTTCCCTTCCTTATCCTGACTTTTGTGGTAACCATTCCCTGCTTTTCTGAATGGCTTTACCATCTACATATACAATCCAACAGTGTGTTATTTAGTTGCCTGCTTTTGAGCTTTATACATGTTATACTTTGAATTTTATGTAGCATTTTGTAGTATTATGAAATTGTACAGTATATAGTCTCCAATTACTTTCCACCTTCAGCATTTGTGAGATTCTTTCTTGTTGTTGTGTGTACCTCTCTGGTTTATTTCGTTTCCCTGTTATATGGTATTTATTCCGTTGTGTGTTTATACTATAGTTTACTCTAATATTGATTGTTTCCAACTTTGTTATTATGAACAATGCTGCTATGAATATTTTTGACCTTCGCTACTGGTGCACATGTGCAAGAGTTTCTCTAAGGTATATGCTCAAGAGCAGAATTACTGGGTCATATAGTTTGTATACACTTGACTTCAGCTGTTAATGCCAAACACTTTCTTTGGTTTCTAGTATACAGCACTCTTCTGGTTGCTCCTTTGCTAGCTTACCTTCCTCTACTAGCATTTAAATGTCAAAGTCCCTCAATCCTTGGTCATAGAGCCCCTTCTTTTCTTACTCTGCCAAGGAGGTCTCATCAATTTTCTGGGGTCAAAGCTCACTTTTAAGAACTCCACATTCCATATATCCAAGTGCCCATTTAACACCTCTACTTGAGCATCTTTTTATTTATTTATTTATTTTTATTTTTAAGGAAAAAAAGTTTTTTTGGGACAGGGTCTTGCTCTGTCGCCTAGGCTGGAGTGCAGTGGCGCAATCATGGCTCACTACAGCCTTGAACTCCTGGGCTCAAGCAATCCTCCCATCTCAGCCTCCTGAGTAGTTGGGACTACAGGAGTGCATCACTGGACCCAGCTAACTTTTAAAATTTTTTGTAGAGATGAGGTCTCACTATGTTGCCCAGGCTGGTCTTAAACTCCTGGCCTCAAATGATCCTTCCATTTCAGCCTCCCAAAGTGCTGGGATTACAAGTGAGAGCCACTGCTCCCCACCTACTTAAGGGTCTTAAGGACACTTCAGACTTGAAATGTGTAAGTCCAAATTCATGATTTTTACCATCCCCCATCTCCCCACTCAACCCAGTCTTTTAGTTTTGCATATCTCAGTGGATGGTGCTACCATCGACCCTATTAGCCAAGCCAGAAATTTATGGATCATCTTTGATACCCCTGATTCCTTCCCCGTATTCTATCAACATATTTTGTCTAATTTACCTCCTAAATAACTCTTTTGGCTTCCACCACCATTCTAGCTGAAGTGCTGTTCTCTCTTGCCTAGAATATTAGCCTTCAGCTAATTTCTCTGCATCCAGTTTTGGCCATCTCCTGCCTATTCTTCCAACTATAGTTAAAAGGATAAAAGCAAAATAAAACAAAAGCAGTCTTCTGTTTCAACATTCCCTTTATCCTGAGAGCTTCCCATTGCTCTTAGGGTAAAGACAAGGTCTTCAGGGATTTGGCCCCCCGACCTCACCAGCCGTATCTGTTGCCTACCACCCCCACCGCTGTGCTTCAACTCTAGGGCTCTCCTTTTAGCTTCTCAAGCATTTTCTTCCGTCAACCCTCCCTCTACGCTTTGCATAGGTTTTTCTCTCTGCCTAGAATACTCCCTTCCCCTCCACACCTCAAATTTCACTTCTATTCCTCCATTAGATACCAGTTTAACCATTCCTTCCACAGAGAAACCTTCCCCCACCTCCAGAGTAGGTCAGGCATTCTTTCTTTTTCTTTTTTTTTTTTTTGACACAGGGTCTCCCTTTCTTGCCCAGGCTGGAGTTCAGTGGCGTGTTCCTGGCTCACTGCAGCACCAACCTCCTGGGCTCAAGTGATCCTCCTACCTCAGCCTTCCAAGTAGCTGGGACTATAGGCATGTGCCACCATGCCTGGCTAATTTTTATTTTATTTTTTTATAGAGATGGGGTTTTGCTCTGTTGCCCAGGCTGGTCCCGAACTCCTGGGCTCAAGGAATCTGCCTGCCTCAGCCTCTCAAAGTACTGGGATTATAGGCATGAGCCACTGCACCCAACCTCATTGTATATGCTCATGACAACCTGGGTTTTTCTTCATGACAACTGTCATTGCATGTATGTAAACATTTTGGTAAATATTTGGTTAGTTTCTATCTCCATCAGTAGATTATAATCTATTATTAGGTCTCAATAAGTATTAGTTGAATCAATGGATGTTGAATGAATGTATATAAATATCTGGCACATATCCCAGTGTCTGGCAGTAGTACACAATCAATGGCAGCTATTACTATTAGGATCCCTTGTGTCTTTCTTATTCTTATAGGGTCCTGCTCAGTGTGCTGTTGTGTTTTGCACTTCTTTCTGAAGGTCTTTCTGATGAGTTTTCCCTGGCATTTGCCCTCATTCTAGTAAAATGAGGACAGTGGTGGTCATTCCTTTTTCATTCAATGCTCATTCAGAAACTTGATAAGAAGTATTTTACATATATTCTCATTTAATTCTCACAGTTCTATGAGGTAGCTACCCTAATTATCTCCTTTTTATAGTTGAGGAAATTGAGGTACAGAGAGATTAAGAAACTTGCCTAAGGTCACTGAGTTAGTAAGGGGTGGAGCTGGAATTTGAATCTGTGTGCTTCATTCCAAAGCCCACTCTCTTAACCATAATGCTGTGGAGTCCGAGACAGACTAGTACGATCAGCCCAGTAAGGATGGTGTGTGAATACGTGTCCTTAATCTAAGTACTGCTGTAGTCCAGAGAGAGGAGAAGGGAGAAGTTAGTCACTGGGCGAGGCAATTGGAGCATGTACACTTAGGACTAGGACTTGTCCCATGGGTAGATGTGTGGCCAATGAAGAAGAGTGGGTAGAGATATTCCAGGCAGGTGAGCTTGTGGGGGAGAGGTGAGGTCATGTGGGAGAGAAGATCGAGTCTATGGAAGGAGATTTTAGAATCACTGAACTTCTTTTATTTTGGTGTCTCCTAGATAGTTTTGTGCCAGAATAATATCCATAATCAGGCCCATATGAACAGAGTGGTCACACACGAGCTTATTCATGCATTTGATCATTGTCGTGCCCATGTCGACTGGTTCACCAACATCAGACATTTGGCGTGCTCAGAGGTGAGTTTTATTGTATTTTTCTCCAGAATACTCTATGCTTGAATATTTTATTCAAGTGTAATTTATTTAAATGTATTCCTTTTCTTACTGTCATAGTTCTACCTTAGTCTTGAATTTCGGTTTATAACTAACATTGAATACCATTTTTGATATACAGTTAGAGAAATTTAAAGTGTATTTTTAGAATTCTCTTAACTATATCCTGTAAGTCCTAGTAATAGTGATGACTGACTTTAATAAGCTATTAATTTTTTCCTATGGAATATATTTTATAATGTATTCCATAGGAGACATTAATAATAAAAATAAAAATAAAAAAATAATTAAAATTTACTGAGGGCTGTGTTCCAAACACTGTTCTGTTTGCACAGATTCTTATTTAATCTTCACAATAACCTACTGAGATAGATATTATACTATTATTGTCCCTGTTTTACATATGTGGAAAGTGAGACAGTTGTTTAGATTCCAAAGTTAGTAAGTGGTAGAGGCAGGATTACAACTAGTGTTTTTAACTAGCTTGCCCAGCTGCCTTCCATAGAGCTCCTTGCTTGCCCTAGAGTAAAACATGCTCTTTTCAAAAATACAACATAAAAAGATATTTATTACTAAGCACGTTGGATTGCTCTTGGAATATGCTCCTAGAGAGAGCGTATTCTGCATATGCATATACTTGGATGTCATTAATTGAAGAGTTAATTAAAATAATCTAAATCTCAAGCCTATACTATATAACTTCGATTATTTCCCTTTCTCTTGAAATTAATATGTAGCCCCCTGCATCTAATTATAATTCCAATTATTTGGAGAATAGACTGAAACCTGAATTTTTAAATAGGTCTCTTTCTTGGGTACTGTGAGAATTAATGCCTTTTAGCTAGTTAAAGTGTGTTAAGTACTTTGAGCTCCTCAGAGGAATGAGGCCATAATATTGAAGAAGGAACAAGAAGTGGGCCATTCTGTTAGCAATGAATTAGCAAAAATGTGGTCAAGCTGCCTGTAGAATCTATGTGGGTAGTTCTAAGACTTTTTCATTCATTGAAGTATAGTAAATCTGAAAATATGTCCTAATTTCAGGCTGTCATGCTCATAGCGTGACCAGTTTGGAATGTTCTTGATTCTTTGTGTTTTGTATTGCTTCATTTTTCATAGGACAATCAAGTCCCTAGAGGAAGGTCATGAACTTATATAGGTTTGAGGGAAGCTCCAAGGGAGATTCGGGCAAGGGTTGGGAGGGGCATATTCTCAAAGTGTCTCAGATATTAATGCATTCAGTTTTAAGGTCACATTGAAACTCAGTTTATTTCAAGAATGCTTTCTTGAAGTACTTTTGGCAATTTCTACAAGTATTTGTATCTTGTAGAGTGTGTAGTTTAACTCTGAGGTCTAGCTCTCTGACTTTTGGTTCCAAAAGAAATTAGTTCTGTCAGTAAAGCTACGCATAAAGTTTAGAAAATTTCCTTTGGTAGGCGATTGAACTTTTCCCCATCTCTCCAGTGTATTTGGCATTGTCTAGCATAGCTCATAGATATTTGCTCTCGTTGTCAATAGAGTTTAAAAAGTCCTTTAAGAAGAAGTGTCACAAATACTCTTTTCTCAGACAAAGATGCTAATTTTATATTCTTTTCTAATTTTTAAAAATTGGTTGATATCATAAAGATATATAGAGCATGAGCGTTTATTTCTTTTTATTTGTCTTCTGTGTGATAGGTTCGAGCTGCTAACCTTAGTGGAGACTGCTCACTTGTCAATGAAATATTCAGGTTACATTTTGGATTAAAACAACACCACCAGGTAAAAACTAATATGAAATCACTTCCCCTCCAGAGTGTTACGAGTGGAAATAATGAATAAAGAAATGAAAAGTACATTCAGTATTTGAAATTTGAAAGAACTTCGTATGTGAAAAGAATACAAAGTATGTACCATTTAAACAAAGTAGATGGAATTTAGTTCTACTTTGTAATTATGGGCAAGCTATGTGACTCAATGAGTGTGTGAGATAGTCTAATAATGAAAAGAGGCCTGGTGCGGTGGCTTATGCCTCCCAGCAGTTTGGGAGGCCGAGGCGGGCGGATCACGAGGTCAGGAGATCGAGACCAGCGTGGCCAACATGGTGAAACCCCGTGTCTACTAAAAATACAAAAAAATTAGCTGGGCGTAGTGGAGCACACCTGTAGTCCCAACTACTATGGAGGCTGAGGCAGGAGAATCACTTGAATCTGGGAGATGGAGGTTGCAGTGAGCCGAGATCATGCCACTGCACTCCAGTCTGGGCCACAGAGTGAGACTCCATCTCAAAAAAAAAAAAAAAAAAAAAGGAGCTAAGATCTTGCATCTGGGATACTTTTCGATGGGGGTGGATAAGGAATGGAAGTGAAATCACAGCATGTCTTACTGTTATTCTAACAATTCTTGACTTCTATTTTGAATCTACCATAGCATTCTGGAGACAAAAGATGTAATCCCTTTCAGAACAGAGAGTGTGTTGCTGCACAAGTTATGGCTATGTGTCAGTGTACCTGTAAAGGCTATATAATGTGATAGAAAACCTTTGGCTTAGCACAGACTTGAGTATGATGAGCTTAGCTGAGAGGGATTTGTGTGAACAAAACAAAAACAAAAAACAAAAGAGAGCTATAAGGCAAGATTATCCTGGTAGAAAGGCTTTGAGATCTGTATTAGGTGGACGTGGGGAAAGAAAGTATAGGACTCATGGATTGATAATGAATGTGAGCAGTTCTGCCTGGGCCTGTGTCCACATTTAGGAGAAAGGCTGGTCAGTCATTTTCTACAGTAAGAGCCTGCTGAGTCAGTTTGTGAAGTATATGAGCATCACGATATCAGTTCCAACTAGATGAAAAAAGATAGGCTTAGGACAACAGGAAGGCCCTTGGTTTTCTGGAGAAGAGAGTAACTCAACTCTGGAGTGGGGGGTGGAAAGTCACAGTGAGCTACTCAGAAATTGTGAACTTAGTGAATGGGAGGGAGAAGAAAAGCCTTCTGCCTGGAAAGGGTGATTACTCTAGACAGTGAGGTGTTCAGCCTCTGCCAGGTCAGCTTAGTGATATGCCAGTGACTTGTCTTGTGCTGCATGTTTTCTGTGCCCTTGAGTCCCTGCTTCTCTGGTGAATTCTGTGTGTTCTGGCTGTCAGTGGAGAGGGTGGAAGCAGGGTACACATCAGCACGCCCCTAGAGAAGAGAATAATGTGGTTAAAGCATGTGCTGGCATAGCTTATGGATATCTGCTCTTGTCAATAGAGTTTGAAAAATTCCTTAAAAAAAAAAACTATTACATATACTCTGTTTTTAGAAAAATATGCTAATTTTATATTCTTTTCCAATTAAAAAAAAATCAGTTGATATACTAAAGAAATAGAGCATGTTTTTTTTTTTTTTAATTCACCTTCTATCTTTGTGATAGGTTTGTGATGCACACAATCTTTGAAAGAGGAAGTTTTCCTCTTTTTACCATTGGGTAGCAGCAGCAGAAAACAAATAGAAACAGCAATAGGACAGAAAATAAGTGGAGGTAGTAGGAATCTGGCTGAGGGAGAAGAGTCTTAGAGAATGGAGTCCCTGCTTTTGTACAGCATGTACCCAGGAAATAGAAACAGCAAGTACAGTTACTGATTGTAAAATTGCATAGTCATATCTTTATTTTAACAGAAATTTATTATGTCTGAAAAGAAGTAAATCTGTGGTCTACACTTGTGTCTCCCAACCCTGTGGCTTCAGGAGACAAATTTTTGTACCTTTTTTCCCTGGAGGGGAGAAATTTCCTCTCTTTTTAGCAACTGTTGTTTTGGCTTCACATGGTTCTTCCTTTTCTTGTTCCTTTATGCCTGGGGTTTATTTTTTAAAATCAGCGTTTAGTAAAATTCAGGTTGAGAAACACTATATTCCAATGTTAGTGAATATCTCCAGCTTGAGCACACTGACCAGGCCAATGAAAAACTGGGAACATGTGGAGAAAACGGATGGCTGTCAGGATGCACAGCCATCCAAACCAGTGTTTGATTATTTTTAGGAAAAGGTCAAATGCCATTCTTTTGAGTTTTAGATTGGTCCTGGGGAGAAATAAATGGATTAAAAGCTCTCCAAGAATTGGAATGGCAGGGCCTTATATTTCTTAAATATTTAAATTAGAGTATTGAGAAATTCTAGCCTATTACTATGAAATGTTAGGTAAATTATTATCTTAGAACTTTAATATCTGTGTAAAGAACAATCAGGAAAAAAAAGTTGTTTAATTTCCACACCCCCTAAAAAATTAAGGTACATTCCAAGTTCGGGTGGATATGTGTATGGTTTCCTGTTGCCTCCAGAGAGGACTTACCCTTCTCAAAGGAAAAGTTATCTAGCATTGGTCAACTGAAAAGAAAGAGAGGTACAGAAGTGAAGTATATTTTAAATTTAATTAAATTTTATCAAAAAGTCAATCAGGACTTTATAGACTTTTTTTTTTTTTTTGGCGAGTTTGCAAATTGGGAGATATTGTTTGGCAGACACTGCCAAGAATTTCTGAGAATGACATCTGCTTATATCAGTGGGAAAGATGAGAAAATGGAGAAGGTCTTACTTATGCCTAAATAATTTTAGGTTGAGCTAAAAATACTCCTTAAGTGTTATGGATCTTTGTTCATTTTGTTTTCTTCTTTGGAATGACAGAAATTAGTAAAATAATATGAGGAAATTAATTTTAATTAATTCAGACATTAGATAAAATGTATTATTTCGTGATTAAATGTTTATATAAAATTAGAGCCTCATACTTTTCCTTCTTTTTAGACTTGTGTGCGAGACAGAGCCACTCTTTCTATCCTGGCTGTTAGGAATATCAGCAAAGAAGTAGCTAAAAAGGCTGTTGATGAAGTTTTTGAATCTTGTTTCAATGACCATGAACCTTTTGGAAGGATCCCACATAACAAGACTTATGCAAGATATGCTCACAGAGACTTTGAAAACCGTGATCGGTATTATTCAAATATATGAGCACAATGACATTTTTATATTACAGAGCTTCCATCATCATGAAGAAAAAAAAATTTGGTTCTCAAGTGAACAAACATATAAAATGTAAACAATCCCTACAATCCAGATAAAACAGAGAAGACTGTGATTCTAGCATATTATCAGAAAAAGTAACTATGGCAAAAAATGAAACTGCTTTAAACTCCAAGGCAGAAATTGTATCTTTATAGCTAACCATTTAGTAAATAAATACATTACATTTTTGTATTTTAGTCATTTGTTTTTATTACATGTGATTATTTTAAAATTTGATTATGAAACCTGTGAAGTGTGCTCTTCCATGATGTTGATAGGTGACCACTGTTGGTATTTACATTAAATGTAAAGAAATGTGTACTGATCTCATTGTAGGATACTTATTGAGCTGTTGTTATGATGAAAATTGGAAATAATTCATTCAGTGGTCAATGCTATCCTCTCCCTATTCTTCTTTTATCATATATGTGGGACCCATATGGCCTAATTTTCTGGGGACAGTCCTGGTTAGATCTTTTTCTTTTTAATAAAGGCAGTGCTCGAATTTTAGCTCCAGATCGACTGCAAGAACAAACCAGCAATACTGAGAGGACCCACAGACCCTCTGAAGGAAGCGACTGCTCCTACAGTGCCCAGGAGACACCCCAAATACTGTGAGTGCCCAACTGCAGAAGTGGGAAAGGGAGACCCTCCTCTCCCACACACACCCCCCCACTGGAGAAACTGAAGGTCTGTTTGTGGGAGAAGTTTCCGACCTTACCTGGAGCTGAGTTAATTTAGAGAGCCGAGCGAAATACAGGGGTAGAGCAAGCAGCAGGAAGGCCCAGGGAGCTCGCTGGGTCCCCAAGCAGCCCATTCCTGCCTGTCACCACAGAGATCCATTGCAAGGGCAGCCAGAAGAGCAGCGGGTAAAACTCCACAGGGAGAAGGACATCTCTAGCTGAACTTTGTAACTATTTCAATGGGGCAAGAAGCCTCCCGGCCAGAACTTGGGAGAGGGCACAAATCCCATGTGCAGAATCCACAGAGGGGAAGAACCAAGCTCTTTTCTTTCACAGCTGGGAGGTGGGTAGCCTGGGGCAAGTTTTCAAGCCTGTCTCACCCACCACCTGGAAGCAGACTTGGGGCTGTGGTGGGGGGCATGGTGGGAGTGAGACTGGCCCTTCGGCTTGTGTGGGAGCTGGGTGAGGCCTGTGACTGCCGGCTTTCCCCTACTTCCCTGACAACCTGCATGACTCCCCAGAGGCAGTCATAATCCTCCTAGGGACACAACTCCAGTGACCTGGGAATCTCACCCTCATCTCCCACAACAGTCACAGCAAGACCTGCCCAAGGAGAGTCTGAGCTCAGACATGTCTATCCCTGCCCCGACCTGATGTTCCTTCCCTACCCACCCTGGTATCTGAACAAAAAGGGCATACAATCTTGGGAGTTCTAGGGCCCCACTCACCACAAGTTCTTCTCCATACTACCACAACTGATGCTCTCTGGAAAGCGCTACCTCCTGGCAGGAGGCCAGCCAGCACAAAAATAGAGCCTTCAACCACCAAAGCTAAGAACCCTCATGGAGTCCATTGCACCCCCCCTGCCACCTCCACTGGAACAGGTGCTGGTATCCACAGCCGAGAGACCCATAGACGGTTCACATCACAGGATTCTGTGCAGGCAACCCCCAGTACCAGCATGGAGCTGGGTAGACTCACTGGGTGGCTAGACCCAGAAGAGAGACAACAATCACAGCAGTTTGGCTTACAGGAAGCCACATCCATCGGAAAAGGGGGAGGGTATACATCAAGGGAACACCCTGTGGGACAAAGGAACCTGAACAATGGCCTTCAGCCCTAGACCTTCCCTTTGACAGAGACTACCCAAATGAGAAGGAACCAGAAAACTAACCCTGGTAATATGACAAAACAAAAGCTCTTTAACACCCACAAAAAAATCACACTAGTTCACCAGCAATGGATTCAAACCAAGAAGAAATCCCTGATTTACCTGAAAAAGAATTCAGGAGGTTAGTTATTAAGCTAATCAGGGAGGCACCAGAGAAAGGCAAAGCCCAGTGCAAGGAAATCCAAAAAATGATATAAGAAGTGAAGGGAGAAATATTCAAGGAAATGGAGAGCTTAAAGAAAAAAGAATAAAAAATTCAGGAAACTTTGGACACACTTTTAGAAATGCAAAATGCTCTGGAAAATCTCAGCAATAGAATTGAACAAGTAGAAGAAAGAAATTCAGAGCTTGAAGACAAGGTCTTCAAATTAACCCAATCCAAAAAAGACAAAGAAAAAAGAATAAGAAAATATGAACAAAGCTTCCAAGAAGTCTAGGATTATGTTAAGTGACCAAAACTAAGAATAATCAGTGTTCCTGAGGAAGAAGAGAATTCTAAAAGCTTGGAAGACATATATGGGGGAAATAATCAAGGAAAACTTCTCTGGCCTTGCGAGAGACCTAGACATTCAAATACAAGAAGCACAAAGAACACCTGGGAAATTCATCACAAAAAGATCATTGTTTAAGTACATTGTCACTAGGTTATCCAAAGTTAAGATGAAGGAAAGAATCTTAAGAGCTGTGAGACAGAAGCACCAGGTAACCTATAAAGGAAAACCTATCAGATTAACAACAGATTTCTCAGCAGAAACCCTACAAGCCAGAAGGGATTGGGGCCCTATCTTCAGCCTCCTCAAACAAAACAATTATCAGCCAAGGATTTTGTATCCAGTGAAACAAAGCATCATATATGAAGGAAAGATACAGTCTTTTTTCAGACAAATAAGTGCTGGGAGAATTCACCACTACCAAGCCACCACCACAAGAACTGCTTAAAAGGAGCTCTAAATCTTGAAACAAATCCTGGAAATGCAACACATCAAAACAGAACCTCTTTAAAGCATAAATCACACAGGATCTGTAAAACGAAAATACAAATTAAAAAGCAAAAGTAAAAAACCAAAATACAGAGGCAACAAAGAGCATGATGAATGCAATGATACCTCACATTTCAATTATAACATTGAATGTAAATGGCCTAAATGCTCCACCTAAAAGAAATAGAACCACAGAATGGATAAAAACTCACCAACCAACTATCTGCTGCCTTCAGGAGACTCACCTAACACATAAGAACTCACATAAACTTAAACTAAAGGGGTGGAATAAAGCATTTGATGCAAACGGACACCAAAAGTGAGCAGGGGTGGCTATTCTTACATCAGACAAAACAAACTTTAAAACAACAGCAGTTAAAAGAGACAAAGAGGGACATTACATAATGGTAAAAGGCCATGTCCAACAGGAAAATATTACTGTCCTAAACATATATGCATCTAACACTGGAGCTTCCAAATTTATAAAACAATTACTAATAGACCTAAGAAATGAGAGACAGCAACACAACAAGAGTGGGGGACTTCAGTACTCCACTGACAGCATTAGACAGGTCATCAAGACAGAAAGTCAACAAAGAAACAAGGGATTTAAACTATAACTTGGAACAAATGGACTTAACCGATATATACAGAACATTTCATGCAACAACCACAGAATACACGTTCTATTCAACAGTGCATGGAACTTTCTCCAAGGTAGACCTTAGGATAGGCCATAA
This sequence comes from Homo sapiens, assembly GCF_000001405.40. Taxonomy (NCBI): domain Eukaryota; kingdom Metazoa; phylum Chordata; class Mammalia; order Primates; family Hominidae; genus Homo; species Homo sapiens. Next base: position 141,396 of record NW_003315939.2, on the reverse strand, counting down.
AATGAGCCTCAATAAATTTAAGAAAATCAAAATTATATCAAGCACTCTCTCTGACCACAGTGGAATAAAACTGGAAATCAACTCCAAAAGGAACCATCAAAACCATGCAAATACATGGAAATTAAATAACTTGCTCCTGAATGAGTATTGGGTCAAGAACGAAATCAAGATGGAAATTAAAAAATTCTTTGAACTGAATGATAATAATGACACAACCTACCAAACCCCTGGGATAAAGCAAAGGTGGTGCTAGGAGGAAGGTTCATAGCCCTAAATGCTGATATCAAAAAGACTAAAAGAGCACAAACTGACATTCTAAGGTCACACCTCAAGGAACTAGAGAAACAAGAACAAACCAAACCCAAACCCAGTAGAAGAAAGAAGTAACCAAGATCAGAGCAGAACTAAAGGAAATTGAAACAGCAATAACAACAACAAAAATACAAAAGATAAATGAAACAAAAAGCTGGTTCTTTGATAAGATAAGTAAAATTGATGGACTATTAGCAAGATTAACTGAGAAAATAAGAAAGAAAATCCAAATAATTTCACTAATAAACAAAACAGGAGATATTACAACTGACACCACTGAAATACAAAGGATCATTCAAAGCTACTGTGAACACCTTTATGCACATAAACTGGAAAACCTAGAAGAGATGGATAAATTCTTGGAAAAACACAATCCTCCTAGCTTAAACCAGGAAGAATTAGATACCCTGAACAGACTAATAACAAGCAGCGAGATTGAAATGGTAATTAAAAAATTACCAACAAAAAAAGTCCCGGACCAGATGGATTCACAGCAGAATTCTACCAGACATTCAAAGAAGAATTGATACCAATCGTTTTGACACTATTCCACAAGATAGAGAAAGAAGAAACCCTTCCTAATTCATTCTATGAAGCCAGCATCACCCTAATACCAAAATCAGGGCAGGACATAACCATAAAAGAAAACTACAGACCAATATCCTTGAAGAACATAGATGCTAAAATCATTAACAAAATACTAGCTAACTGAATTCAACAACATATCAAAAAGATAATCCACCATGATTAAGTGGGCTTCATACCAAGGATGCAGGGATGGTTTAACATACACAGTTCAATAAATGTGATACACCACACAAACAATTAAAAACAAAAATCATGTGATCATCTCAATAGATGCAGAAAAAGCATTCAACAAAATCCAGCATTGCTTTATGATTAAAACTCTCAGCAAAATGGGCAGACAAGGGACAGGTATGTCCCTTGTAATAAAAGCCATCTATGATAGACCCACAGCCAACATAATACTGAGTGGGGAAAAGTTGAAAGCATTCCCTCTGAGAACTGGAACAAGACAAGGATGCCCACTCTCACCACTCCTCTTCAACATAGTACTGGAAGTCCAAGCCAGAGCAATCAGACAAGAGAAAGAAATAAAGGGCATCCAAATTGGTAAAGGGAAAGTCAAACTGTCACTGTTTGCTGGTGATATGATTGTTTACCTTGAAAACTCCAAAGACTCCTCCAGAAAGCTCTTAGAACAGATAAAAGAATTCAGCAAAGTTTCTGGATACAAGATTAATGTACACAAATCAGTAGCTCTTCTATATACCAACAGCAACCAAGCAGAGGATGAAGTAAAGAACTCAGCCCCTTTTACAATAGCTGGGGAAAAAAAAAAAAAAAAAGGAATATATCTAACCAAGGAGTCAAAATAGCTCTACAGGGAAACTACAAAACACTGCTGAAAGAAATCATAGATGATACAAACAAATGGAAACATCCCATGCTCACGAATGGGTAGAATCAATATTGTGAACATGACCGTACTGCCAAAAGCAATCTACAAATTCAATGCAATCCCCATCAAAATACCACCATCATTCTTCACAGAATTAGGAAAAGCAATTCTAAAATTCATATGGAACCAAAAAAGAGCCTGCATAGCCAAAGCAAGACTAAGCAAAAAGAACAAATCTGGAGGCATCACACTACCTGATTTCAAACTATATTATAAGGCCATAGTCACCAAAACAGCATGGTACTGGTACTGGTATAAATAGGCACATAGACCAATAGAATAGAATAGAGAACCTAGAAATAAACCCAAATACTTACAGCCAACTGATCTTTGACAAAGCAAACAACATTAAGTGGGGAAAGGACACCCTTTTCAACAAATGGTGCTGGCAGAATTGGATAGCCACATGTAGGAGAATGAAGCTGGATCCTCATCTCTCACCTTATACCAAAATCAACTCAAGATGGATGAAGGACTTAAACCTAAGACCTGAAACTATTAAAATTCTAGAAGATAACATTGGAAAAATTCTAGACATTGGCTTAGGCAAGGATTTCACGACCAAGAACCCAAAAACAAATACGACAAAAACAAAGATAAATAGCTGGGACCTAATTAAACTAAAGAGCTTTTGCATGGCAAAAGGAACAGTCAGCAGACTAAACACAACCTACAGAGTGGGAGAAAATATTCACAGTCTATACATCTGACAAAGGACTAATATCCAGAATCTACAATGAACACAAACAAATCAGTAAGAAGAAAACAATCCCATCAAAAAGTGGGCTAAGGACATGAATAGAAAATTCTCAAAAGAAGATATACAAATTGCCAACAAACATATGAAAAAACGCTCAACATCATTAATGATCAGGGAAATGCAAATCAAAACCACAATGCAGTACCACCATACTCCTGCAAGAATGGCCATAATAAAAAAGTCAAATAACAGTAGATGTTGGCGTGGATGCGGTGATCAGGGAACACTTCTACACTGCTGGTGGGAATGTAAAGTAAAGTATACAGCCACTATGGAAAACAGTGTGGATATTTCTTAAAGAACTAAAAGTAGAACTTCCATTTGATCCAGCAATCCCACTACTGGGTATCTACCCAGAGGAAAAGAAGTCATTATTCAAAAAAGACACTTGCACACATATGTTTATAGGAGCACAATTCACAATTGCAAAATTGTGGAACCAAGCCAAATGCCCATCAATCAACGAGTGGATAAAGAAACTGTTATATATATATATGATGGAATACTACTCAGCCATAAAAAGGAATGAATTATCAGCATGTGCAGTGACCTGGATGAGACTGGAGACTATTATTCTAAGTGAAGTAACTCAGGAATGGAAACCCAAACATCATATGTTCTCACTGATATGTGGGAGCTAAGCTATGAGGACACAAAGGCATAAGAATAATTCAATGGACTTCGGGGACTTGTGGGGAAGAAGAGGAGGAGGGCCGAGGAATAAAAGACTAAAAATATGGTGCAGTGTATACTGTTCGGGAGATGGGTGTGCCAAAATCTCACAAATCACCACTAAAGAACTTACTCATGTAACCAAATACCACCTGTACCCCAATAATTATGGAAAAAAAAATTAAGCAAACTAAAACCATAACAGAAAAAAGGCAGTGCATTAAATTCATAATACAATCCAATTTAATTTTTATATATTTATAATATTTTTCATATAATCATTCTCAAATCTTTTTTAGGCACCATATCTGAATTTTGGATCCAGAAAGCATGGTCATTGTATCTATACCCCTTAACACAGGCATTACCTGCATCTTCTACCTGCTCTTAGCAGCTGCATCTTTAACCCGCTCCTAGCAAACATCATTTGGCCTATGTCTAGATTGATAGGTGATGATGCCTATGTGTAGATGTGACTGATTAGAGGTTTAAAGACTGAAGCTAGCAGGATTCATTCTCTTGAGTTAAAATTTTATTAAATATAAATTATAAAGTAATACCTGAAGCCTTGTCAAACATTTAAAACAAAATTTGAGGATTCTGGGAAGATAATGGAGAAGGAAGCACCAGAAATCTGTCTTCCCACTTAGGTAAAAATTATAGTAGTAGAACCTCTCTGATGTAACTGTTTTGGAACTCTGGGTCTATTGAAGGCTTGCAACGTCCAGGGAAAAGCTTGGATATTAAATTGTGGTTCATTTTGGTCAATTTTAGTTCTTAGCACAGTAGCAGCTACCCATCCCCCATCCCCTATCCTTGTGGCAGGTGGGTGTGCACATGTTCCTGGAGCAGCTTGCATGCAGGTTGTGGGAGCCAGGGTGGATAAAAAAAGACTCTGTCCTCCAAATAGTGGAGATCTGTGCTTTGATTGCTAATTGCTGCTTCTGATTACAGAGGTTCAGAGGTGGACATTGTGGTTTCACCTCCCTCCATTGTTGCAAGCTCCCCCTACCCTCTGGCTGAAGTGACTTCCTGGTTATTTAAAAGGCTGGTGCCTTTTTGTTTTTCCTGTGCTCTTCATTTTTCTCTTTTCCCCCCTTTGGGAGCCAGACACTGAAGACTATGACATTCAAAAGTAACCTCATATACAAGAGAAATTAGAAAGTTACAGTACATGTGCAGGGGAAGGTGCAAGCTCTGAAAACACCCTAATTTTATACCTCAGACTGATCCTCAGCACAGGGATAGCTTACAAAAAAAATAAAAACACAAAACAGCAAACCCTGGAGAGAGAGTATCTGACTTTTAGACTTACCAGATTATTAGATTAAAATGTACAGTTTTCAACAAAAATCACAAGAGATAGAAACAGGAAATTGTGGCCCATTCTATGGAAAAAAGCAAACAAACAGAAACTGTCCCTGAAAAAGACCTGTTGGCAGATTTACTAGACAAAAACTTTAAAATAATTGTCTTAAAGATGCTCAAAGACCACACGATCCAGCCATCTCACTCTTAAGTATATCCCCAAAAGAAAGGAAATTAGTATATCAAGTGATATCTGTACGCTCACATTTATTGTAGCACTATTCACAATAGCCAAGATTTGGAAGCAACCTACACAATGGAGTACATTCAGCCATATAAAAGAATGAGATCCTGTCATTTGCAGCAACATGGGTGAAACTGGAGGTCATTATGTTAAGTGAAATAAGCCAAACTTTGCATGTTCTCACCCATGGGAGCTAAACATTAAAACAATTGAACTCATGGAGATAGCAGAATGATAGTTACCAGAGGCTAGGAAGGGTAGTGGGGTGGGGGTGGGGGCATGAGGGTAAGGGAGGGGAAATTGGGGATGGCTAATGGGTACAAAAAAATAGAATGAACAAGACAGTATTTGCTAGCACAACAGGGTGACTGTAGTAAAAAGTAATTTAATTGTACATTTAAAAATAACTAAAAGTGTATAATTGGATTGTTCATATCACAAAGTGAGGGACTGAGGGGCTAAATTGTCTGGACTTCCTGGGTCAATAGGGACGTCCCTAAGGGGACTTTCCCCTAAGCCAAAATGAGTCACAGCTGCAAGCTAAGGGATTGAACTTCAACCAGTCACATAGGGAGTTTAAGCTCTAGCTGCAGCCTGATGTTTTTAACCAATCAGGCCTGCCAACCCGCAAGCAGATTGAAAAATAAGCTAATTCTATAGGACAGAAAAAGGAAAAGAGGAGGGGTTATAAGGGGATATAAGCATAAGATACCCAAGCGAAAAACGGCAACTCTTCCGTGTCCCCTTCCACCGTGTGGAAGCTTTACTTTTGCTTTACTTTCACTTTCACTTTAATAAATCTTGCTGCTGCACACTCTTGGGGTCCGTGCGTTTCTCTAATCAAGTTGTAACACTCACTGCTGCAGTCCATGGCTTCATTCCTTGAAGCCCTTGAGACCACGAACCATTCAATCTAGAAAAACCTTAGATTGGAAGAAGACTTCTTGTCTCAAAAGGATAAATGCTTGAGGTGGGGGATACCCTGTTTATCCAGATGTGATTATTATGCATTGCATGCCTGTATCAAAATGTCTCATGTATCCCATAAATACACCTAATGTGTTCCCACAAAAATTAAAAATAAAAATTTAATTAAAAAAGAACTAGCAAAAGATGCTCAAAGAACTAAAGGAAGACATGGAGAAAGTTAAGAAAACTATGTAGAAACAAAATAGGAATATTAAGAGAAAACCTAGAAAGGAAAAAGAAATTCTGAAGCTGAAAAGTTCAATAATTGAAATAAGAAATTTACTAGAGGGATTCAAAGGCAGATTTGAGCAAGCAGAAGAAAATCAGCAAACTCAAAGATAGGACAATGGAAATTAGCAAGTCTGAGGAACAGAAAGGAAAAAGATTGAAGAAAAGTAAGCACAGCCTAGGAGTCCCATGGGACAATATCAAGCAGACCAATATATACATTGTAGGAGTTCCAGCAGAAGAGAGAAAGGGGCAGAGAGAATATTGGAAGAAATAATGGCTGAAAACTTTTCAAGTTTGATAAAAGACATGAATATAAACATCCAAGAAGCTCAACAAACTCCAAGTATGATGAACTCAAAGATAGCCACATTGAGACATATTATAATCAAACTGTCAAAAGACAAACACAGGCCTTTGTCTCTCACTGCAGCCAGAGCTCCCAGTCTTGTGTTTACTTCTCTGTTTCTTCTGCTTCTAGAGGCCCAGCCTCTGTGGCCCTGTGACCTGCAGGTATTGGGAGATCCACTGCTAAGATGCCAGGACCCCCTGGAAGCCTAGAAATGAGATCATTGACATTTAGGGAGGTGGCCATAGAATTATCTCTGGAGGAATGGCAATGCCTGGACACTGCACAGCAGAATTTATATAGGAATGTGATGTTAGGGAACTACAGAAACCTGGTCTTCCTGAGTATATTGCTGTCTCTAAGCCAGACCTGATCACCTGTCTGGAGGAAAAAAAAAAAGAAAAAAAGCCCTGGAATATGAAGAGACATGAAATGGTAGCCAAACCCCCAGTTTTATGTTTTTCTTTTGCCCAAGACCTTTGGCCAGAGTAGGACACGGAAGTTTTTTTTCCAAAAAGTTATACTGAGAAGATATGGAAAATGTGAACATTAGAATTTACAGTTAAGAAAAGTTATAAAAGTGTGGATGAGTGTAAGGTGCACAAAAAAGGTCATAATGGACTTAACCAGTGTTTGACAACTAATGAGAGCAAAATATTTAAATGTGATAAATGTGTGAAAGTTTTTTTATAAATTTTCAAATTCAAATAGACATAAGATAAGACATACTAGAAAGGAATCTTTCAAATGTGTGTCAAACATTTTGCATGCTTTCACACCTAATTCAACATAAAAGAATTTACACTAAAGACAATTCCTACAAATGTAAAGAATGTGGCAAAGCCTTTAACTGGTCCTCAGGCCTTACTAAACATAAGATAATTCATATTGGAGAGAAACCCTACAAATGTGAAGAATGTGGCGAAGTTTTTTAACCAGTCCTCGCACCTTACTATTCATAAGACAATTCATACTGGAAAGAAACCCTACAAATGTGAAGAGTGTGGCCAATTTTTTAACTGGTCCTCACACCTTACTATACATAAGTAATTCATATGGGAGAGAAACCCTACAAACGTGAAGAATGTGGCAAAGGCTGTTAACCAATTCTCAAACCTTACTAAACATAAGAAAATTTATACTAAAGAGAAAACCTCCAAGTGTGAAGAATGTGGCAAATCCTTCAGTGAATCCTCAATTCTTAAGAGACGCAAGATAATTCATACTGGAGAGAAATTCTACAAACCTGAAAGATGTGACAATGCTTTTGGCAACACTTCAAACTTTTCTAAACATAAAATAAATCATACTGATGAGAAATCCTAGAAATGTGAAGAACGTGACAAGCCTTTAAATGGTTGTCACACTTGATTATAGGTCGGATAATTCATAGTGGAGAAAACTCCTACAAATGTGAAAAATGTGGCAAAACTTTTAACCAATCCTCACACCTTATTGCACAGAAAAGCATTTATACTTGAGAAAAAATTAACAAACAAAAAGAATGTAAAAAAGCCATTAATATCTGTTCACATCTTACTATCAGAGAGTTCATACTTAGTGAAAGCATTGTAAGTGCAATTACTGTCAAAAATGTTTTTCAGAAAATATAAGCTTTTAAAGTGAAGAAAACTATGTATTTTGAAGACAACATTATAGATATAAAGAAGGTTGTAGCACCTTTACTTGTATCACAGATCTTATTGTACACATTTTTACTACAAGAAGAGCCTGAAGCAGTTGCTTAAACTTTGTTCAACATCAAAGAATTTATATTGAAGAAAAACCCGGCAAATGTAATAAATTTGGAAAAACATTTTTTTAATAACTACAGCTTAAAAAATACCAGAGAGTTTATACTAAAATATAATTTTGCAGATGCAGTAAACTATGTAAATATCAGAGAATTCAGAGTAGAAATAACTAAGGCACCAACACTTCAGACATTACACTAAATCAGAGTACTGAGTAGAGAAAATAATCCAAAACCAAAGCTGGTAGACAAATTATTTGTATATAATGAAAAAGGAGTAGAAGATTTTTTGAAGAGTTATAATTATGTTTAAAGTATACTTTTTTTGAAAAATCTGCTACTTTAAAAAAAAATTCAATAATGATATAATTCAACTCTAAAATTACTTCATGCTGTTTCTTCATTCCTATTGTGTTTACATGTGAAAGCATGTGATAAATTGTTTCTGCATTAAAGACATGACAGATTCTTTTTTATTAGGTGGACATTATTTATGACCTTTTCTATGGAGGAGTAATGACATTAAAATGTAAAATGCATGATGAATATCTTAAAAAGGCTCTTTGTGGTTATTTTGTGATACATTAGGTAGGTGTTCAGAGTAATATTCTTCTGCATTATCATGAGAGAAAAACATTCTTAATTCTAGTTAAAATTATATTAAAGTTAATTAAATTATTAGTATATTATTTTACTAATTGTACTTTTATGTAATAAAATGCAGTACATACAAAAAGACAAATACAGAGAGAATTCTGAAAGCAGCAAGAGAAAATTGACTTGTTGCATACAAAGGCTGATCTTCAATAAGATTGTTAGCATATTTATCATCAGAAACTTTTAACAGAGCAGAGTAGACTGATATATTTAAAGTGCTAAAAGAATAAAACTGGTAACCAAGAATCCTATATCTGGTAAAACTGCCCTTCAAAAGTGAGTAAGAAATTAAGACACTCCCAGATAAACAAAAGCAGAGGCAGTTCACTACCATTAGATCTGTCCTGCAAGAAATGCTAAAAGAGTCCTGCAGGTTGAAATCATGACTAGATAGTAACATGAAACCGTATGAAGAAATAAAGATTTCAGTTAAGGTAAACACATAGGCAATTATAAAAGCCACTATTATTGTAACGATGTGTAATTTTACCTTTGCTTTCTACGTGATTTGAGACTAATACATTAAAAAAACAATGATTACTCTAAAAGTATTATTGTAATTTGGTTTGTAACTCCATATTTTGTTTCCTACATAATTTAAGAGACTAACACATTAAAAATTTGTATGTTTTTGGACCCACACTATTAAAGATGTAATTTTGCAGCATCAACAATGGAAAGGGATGGGGATAGAGCTGTTAAAGAAGTAGAGTTTCTATATGTTATTAAAGTTAATCTAGTATAAATTCAAATTAGAGTGTTATAACTTTATGATGTTAAATGTTATCTGCATGGTAACCACAGAAAAAATAGCTAAATAATGTACACAAAAGGAAATGAGAAAGGAATTTAAAGATTTCACTACAAAAATGAACTGAACAGAAAAGAAGATAGTAATGCATGAAATGAGGCAACAAAAGCTATAAGGCATATAGAAAGCAAATAGCAAATTGATAGAAATCCCTCCTTATGAGCAATTACTTTAAATGTAAATGAGTTAAACTCTCCAAGCCATAAGGATTTAACTATATGCTGCTTACAAGAGACTCATCTTGGATCCAAAGACACAAAAAGATTGAAAGCAAAAGGATAGAAAAGGTTATTCCGTGCAAATAGTAATTAAAAGAGAGCAGGGGCGACTACACTAATATCAGACAAAAAAAAAATCTTACTCGAGACAAGGACAGTGTATATCAATAAAAAGGTTCAATGCAGCAAGAAGATATAACAATTATAAGCATTTATACAACTAATGACAAAGTATAAGAAGCAAAAATTGACAGACTCAAAGGGAGAAATAGTTCTGCAATAATAGTTGGAAACATCAATATTTCCCCTCTGAATAATGGATAGACCAGCCAGCCAGATGATAAGAGTGATATGTGTATATATGTGTGTATATATATATATATATATATATATGTATATATGTATGTGTATATATATATATCTTATCATCTGGCTGGCTGGTCTATCCATTATATATATACATATATACATATATATGTGTATATATATATGTGTGTGTGTATATATATGTGTGTGTGTGTATATATATGTGTGTGTGTGTATATATATGTGTGTATATATATGTGTGTGTGTATATATATATGTGTAGGTGTGTATATATGTGTGTGTGTGTGTGCCATATATATATATATATATATATATATATATATAAAATCTTTGATCTTTTCAAAGAAACAAATTTTAATTTCATGAAGTATATATATATATGTATATACATCACCATCACTGGCCATCAGAGAAATGCAAATCAAAACCACAATGAGATACCATCTCAAACCAGTTAGAATGGCAATCATTAAAAAGTCAGGAAACAACAGGTGCTGGAGAGGATATGGAGAAATAGGAACACTTTTACACTGTTGGTGGGACTGTAAACTAGTTCAACCCTTGTGGAAGTCAGTGTGGCCATTCCTCAGGGATCTAGAACTAGAAATACCATTTGACCCAGCCATCCCATTACTGGGTATATACCCAAAGGACTATAAATCATGCTGCTATAAAGACACATGCACACGTATGTTTATTGCGGCACTATTCACAATAGCAAAGACTTGGAACCAACCCAAATGTCCAACAATGATAGACTGGATTGAGAAAATGTGGCACATATACACCATGGAATACTATGCAGCCATAAAAAATGATGAGTTCATGTCCTTTGTAGGGACATGGATGAAATTGGAAATCATCATTCTCAGTAAACTATCGCAAGAACAAAAAACCAAACACCGCATATTCTCACTCATAGGTGGGAATTGAACAATGAGAACACATGGACACAGGAAGGGGAACATCACACTCTGGGGACTGTTGTGGGGTGGGGGGAGGGGGGAGGGATAGATTTAGGAGATATACCTAATGCTAAATGACGAGTTAATGGGTGCAGCACACCAGCATGGCACACGTATACATATGTAACTAACCTGCATATTGTGCACATGTACCCTAAAACTTAAAGTATAATAATAATAAAATAAAATAAAAAAAGAAACTGTAGACCAATGTTCCTTATGAACATCGATGCAAAAAACCTCAACAAAATACTAGCAAACTAATCCCAGCAGCATAATAAATGGATTAGAAACATGACCAAGTGGGATGCATTCTTGGAATACAAGAATGCCTTAACATATGAAAATTCACCATTATAATACATAACATTAACAGAATAAAGGAAAAGAAACACATCATCATTTCAATTATTGCAGAAAAGGCATATGACAAAATTCAACACACTTTCATGATAAAAACACTCAACATGCTAGGAATAGAGAGAAACTACTTTAACATAATAGAAGCCTTAATGAAAACTCATACAGAACATCATAATCAATGGTAAAAGACTGAAAGTGTTTCCTCTAAGATCAAAAACAAGGTAAGGATGCCCACTTTTACTACTTCTATTCAATATAGTGCTAGAAGTTTTAGCCAGAGCAATTAGGTAAGACAAAAGCATCTAATGAAAGGCATCCTAATCAGAAAGGAATAATTAAAATTGTTTATGCTCACAAATGATATTTATCTTCTATTGTCTTGTATTTCTGCTCACAGATAATATGAAAACCTTAAAGATTCTACAAAGAAACTATTAGAACAAATAAATAAATTCAGCAAAGTAGTAGGATACAAAGTTAACATACAAAAAGCTGCACTTTTATAAATTAATAATAAACAGTCTGGGCTGGGCACACTGTGGCTCACACCTATAATCCAAGCACTTTGGGAGGCTGAGATGGGTGGATCACTTAATCTCAGGAGTTCAAGACCAGCCTCGGCAACATGGTGAAACCCTGTCTGTACAAAAAATTACTAAAATTAGCAGGGTATGGTGGTGTGTGCCAGTAATCCCAACTACCCGAGAGGATGAGGTGGGAACATTGGTTGGGCTGCAGTAAGCCATGATCACGTCATTGCACTCCAGCCTGGAAAACAGAGTGAGACTCTGTCTCAAAAAACCCCAAAAACCAGTCTGAAAAGGAGATTAAGTAAATAATTCAATTTAAAATAGTATCAACAAGAATAAATTATTTAGGAATTAAACAAGAAGGTAAAAGACTTGTGAAAAAACAATGAAAACTACAAAATATTTCTGAGAGAAATTAGAGAAGATGTAAATAAATGGAAAGACACCATGCTCATGGGTTGGCAAACTTAATAACATTAAGATGTCAATACTGCCCAAAGTGTTGTACGTATTTAATGCAATCCCTTACATAATTCCAATTTTTTTTGCAGAAATAGAAAAACTCATTCTAAAATTAATATGGCATGGTGGCTCATACCTGTAATCTCTACACTTTGGGAGGCTGAGGCAGAAGGATTGCTTCAGCTCTGGAGGTCGAGGCTGCAGTGAGCCAAGATCGCACCATTGCACTCCAGCCTCAGCAACAGAGTGAGAGTTTGTCTCAAAAAAAAAAAATTAAAATAAAATGAACGTGGAATCTCAAGGGACCAAAATAGCCAAAACAACCCTGTAAAAGAACAAAGCTGGAGGACTCCCACTTCCTGATTTCAAAACTTACCACAAAGCTACAGTAATCAAAACAGTGTGGTGGTGGCATAAAGACACATATACAGATCAATGAAACAGACTAGGGAGTTCAGGAATATATCTTCACTTACATGGTCAAATGATTTTCAACAGTGTGCCAAGACTCTTCAATTGAGGAAAAAACAGTCTTTTCAACCAGTGGTATTGGAAATACTGGATGTCCACATCCAAAAGAATAGTGTTGGATCCTTAGCTAACACCATATACAAAATTAACTCCAAATTGATCTGCTACCTAAATACAAGAGCTAAAATTATGAAATTCTTAGAGGAAAACATAGGGGAAGTGCTTCATGAAATTGGATTTGGCAATGATTGCTTGGATATGAAACCAAAAGCATAAGGAAACAAGAGAAAAAACAGGCAAATTGGACTTCATGAAAAAGACAACCCACAGAATGGGAGAAAATATTTGCTAATCATGTATCCAATATGAGATTAATGGCCAGAATATATAGATAACCCTTAAGACTCAAGAAGAAAATGCCAAACAACCTGATTCAAAAATGGGCAAAGGACTTGAATAGACATTTCTCCAAAGAAGATATACAAATGACCAATAAGCACATGAAAAGATGCTCAACATCACTAATCATTAGGGAAATGCAAGCAAATTAAAACTATGAGATACCACCTCATACTTACTAGGATGGCTACTACCAAAATAGTAGTACAAACAGAAAATAAGTGTTGAAAAGGACGTGGAGAAATTGGAGCCCTTGTGGATGGTTGGTGGGAATGTAAAATGATACAACTGCTATAGAAAACAGCATAGTGGTTTCCCAAAGAGTTAAAAATAGTTTTATCTGAAAGTCTTAATAAAGAAAAAAAGAGAAAGAAAAAAGTTAAAAGTAGAATTACCATATGATCCTGAAATTCCACTTCTGGGTGTTACTCACAAGAATTGAAAGTGGGATCTCAAAGACATATTTGTGCACCATGTTCACAGCAGCAGCATTCACAATAGCTAAAACATGGAGGCAACTCAAGTGTCCATTGATGCATGCATGGATAAGCAAAATGTGGTATATCCACACAATGGAATATTATTTATGTATAAAAAGGAAGGAAATTCTGACACATGCTATGACATAGATGAACCTTGAAGTCTTTATACTGAGTAAAATAATCCAGACAAAAAAGGACAAATATTTTATGATTCCATTTATATGAGGTACTTACAGTAGTCAAAATATTAGATACAGAAGGTGGTTCAGAGCTTGGGAGAGAAGAGAATGGGGAGTTATTGTTTAATGGGTATGAGGTTTTAATTTTAAAAGATGAAAAGAGTTCTGGAGATGGAGGGTGCTGGTGGTTACACAAGAGTATGAATGTACTTAATACCACTGAACTGTACACTTAAAAATAGTTAAGATAGTAAGTTGACTTGCTATCTCCTCCTCATACTCCAGGTTTCAGTTTAAATGTTACTTTTTCTGGACATTTTTTCTTGAGCCTCCAACCTGGGTCTCAACACAGGTTATATATCCTCAAATATATGCTGTATTACATACCCCAGATCACCCTGCACTTCCTCCTTGATGAAGCTGTTCCCCATGGTGACAAAGACTCAGCTCATGTTGGTCCTTCCTGTATCCCTGGTGCCTACATCAGCACATAGTAGACAGTGAGTGTTTAATAAATACTTATTGAATGGGTACAATGTCTATTTTTTCTTCAGATTGAGTCCCTTTTCATGCAGTGGTTGGGAGAATGAATGGGAGCTGTAGTTTCCTAGTGAGCCCTGATCTGAGTCCAGCCACCTTGACTCTTCTGAGGCTCCTCAGGGCTTCCTACTAATAGGTGGCCCCATTAGTGGGCTGCCTGGTATGGCTTTGACCCTACAGATCCAGATTTGGAGTGTGCGTGTCACTTTGACCTTTGCTCTGGGACTCTGAAGCATTATGTTAGGAGAGTGTTTTTGGCTCATTGTAATTTCCCCCCCCTCGTATTTGATCACTTTGGTTATGAGGTAGCATGAATGCAGTTAGCACTCAGAGAAGCTGCCACTTGCCACTTAGGGCATCACACAATTTTTGTTTTCCTTCTAACTTAACATCTGTACCTGTTGAATAAACAGTGTTGTTCAATAAAACTGCAGATATTCTACTTGGTAATTTCTATAGAACCAAATTCAGCTCTTGGGGACTGTAACACTCGCATTGCAAAAGTTAGAAGTAGAAATCAGCAGGGAAGAGAAAGAAGAAAGAGAATAATGAAAGAAAAATGCAGGCTTATTAGCAGAATGCTTGGCTCTTGCTTCTCGAATATTTTAAATTCAGAAAAAAGTTAAAAAATTCAAGTGCAATCTTATCATTAATATAAATTAACATTTATTAATTATACACTTAGGGCATTTCTCTGAAGTGAGTTTAATGAACAAATAACTAGGTTTGGTAATATCTTGGCTGAATATCACTATCCTCTTGAGAAGGTGAATAGTTGAAATAGCATGGTCTGATTGCTACAGACTAACATTATTCTGTTTCATTCTCCACTCTGCTCTTCCTTCTCCCAAGGGCACAAATGAACAAAACAATGGTTTCTTAATTGTTTAGCACTCAATTTTCTGCCTAGCAAAAACTGTGCGGTTATGCCAGTTCTCATACAGTTTTAGTTAAAATAGAAGATTATTGCAATTAGAATTCAGTGCATATTAACCTTTAATTCATTTCTACCAGTTTAAACAAACTCTATTGTAGAAAATTTCAAACATTTACGAAGCAAACCAAGAATAATAAATATCCTTGCACCCATGACTCAGGTTTGACAATTATCAACATTCTGCCCTTTTGTTTAATCTATACTTTCAGCCACTATCCACATCACATTCATTTTTTAAAGGTAAATTTCACCTCTAGTGAGATACCCAAATAATAACTATACAATTTGGACAATATGTACATTTGTGTAACCCACATCATAAAATTTAGAACACCCCATCACCCCAGAAAGTTCCTTCCTCTTTTTTCTCAGTTTCCCTCTTTCCCACCATCCAGCTAACCACTCTTCTAAGTTTTTTTCACCATAGATTGGTTTTTCCTGTTCTAGAATTTCATACACATGGAATCATTAAATATATTTTCTTTTGTATCAGGTTTCTTTTGCCCAGCATGTCTGTGAGTTTCATTGCTATTATTGCATTTATTATTAATTCATTCTCTTTTTATTGCTAAGACATGTCCCATGGTATGAATATAAAACAGTTTGCTTATTCATCCTCCTGTTTATATATAATGGGTTGTTTTTAGTTTTAGGTGTTGTAAATAAGGCTGTTAAGAACATTCTTGTACAAGTCTTTTTGTGGATATGTTTTCCTTTCCACAAATAAGTAAAATACCTATGATAGAATAGCAGAGTCAAAAGATATATGTATATTTAACTTTAAATGAAACAGAAACCTTTTCCCAAAGTGGTTGTGTTATTTCAGATTCCTACCAGTAGTGTATGTGAGTTCTATTTTCTCTTATATTCTAACAAATATTGTCAGTTGTCTTTTTAATTTTAGTCATTCTAGTAGGTGTGTAGTGGTTTCTTATTGTAGTTTCAATTTCCACTTCTTTGATAACTAATGATATTAAACAATTTTGTTGTGTTTATCAGACAATTTTAAATTTTAAAATAAATTTCCTTTGTAAAAGTGTCTGTTCAAATATTTTGCCCATTTTTTCTTCGATTGTTTTTCTTTTTACTATTGAGTTATAAAAAGCCTTTGTATTTTCACTTAAAAGTTTTTTTAATCAGATAAATGTTTCATGAATATTTTCTTCCAGTCTGTGGCTTGCCTATTCATGTTCTTAACATTTTCAATGAGCAGAGTTCTTTAATTTTGAAGTTTAATTTACCAATTAAAAACATTTTGTGGTTATTGCTTTCCGTGTCCTAACAAATTTTTGTCTACTCCTAGTTGTGAAAATAGTCTTTTACATTTTATTCTAAGAGCTTTATAGTTTTAGCTTTTATATTTGAGTCTATAATATTTATATGAAATTCATTTTTGTTTATGGTGTGAAGTAAGAGTTCAGGTTTACTCTTTTTCTTATAGCTGTCCAGATGTTCTAGAACCATTTGCTGAAAATACTTTCCTCATTGAATTGCTTTGGTGTCTGTTGCAAATCAATGGACTATGTATGTGTGGGTCTATTTCCAGATTTTATATTTGGTTCTACTGATCTATTTATTTATGTTTAAGCCAGTAATACACTGTCTTGGTTACTTTATAGTAAGTCTTAAGGTCAGAAGTGTAAGTCCTTCAGCTTTGTTTTTCTTTTACAAGGTTGTTTTGACCATTCTAGGTCTTCTGCATTTCTATACACATTTTAGAATCAGCTTGTCAATTTCTATGAAAAAGCCTGCTGAGATTTATGAATGGGATTGCACTGAAGCTATAGATCAATTAGGGGAAAATTCTCAACAGTATCAAGTCTTCCAAATTATGAACACTCAAATTAATGGACATAGAATATGTCTCAATTTATTTAAATCTTCCTTTTTTTTTTTTAGCAATTTTAAATATTTTTCTTTTTTCTTGTTTATTTATTTAAGACGGAGTCTTGCTCTGTTGCCCAGTTTGGAATGTGGCAGTACAATCACAGCTCACTGTAACCATGAACTCTTGGGCTCAAGTGATCCTCTTGCCTCAGCCTCTTGAGTGGGTGGGAGAGAGGTGTATGCCACCACAACTGGCTAATTAAAAATTTTGTTTTGAGAACTTGTTTGGAGGTTCTAGCAAGGGAGTGCAGCTACTCCTATACCCTTGACCAAAGACTGCAGTCCTCCTCTATCAGGGATGGTCATCCTCTTTGACCGAGTGCACAAAGGGCTAATATACATGGAGCAGTGAGGGAGGAAGGGGACACCCGCCTAGCCAGCCAGATCAGCCAAATCAACCCTGGCCATCAATAGGGTGACAGATGTCACAGCCAGATCAAGTCAGCTTCATCCCTTGGATGTAAGCCTGATTCAACATATGCAAATCAATAAATGTAATCCATCACATAAACAGAACCAATGACAAAAACCACATGATTATCTCAATAGATGCAGAAAAGGCCTACCTTTGAAAAAATTCAGCACCCCTTCATGCTAAAAACTCTCAATAAAATAGGTATTGATGGACTGTATCTCAAAATAATAACAGCTATTTATGACAAACCCACAGCCAATATCACATTGAATGGGCAAAAGCTGGAAGCATTCCCTTTGAAAACTGGCACAAGACAAGGATGCTCTCTCTCACCACTCCTATTCAACATAGTATTGGAAGTTCTGGCCAGAACAATCAGGCAAGAGAAAGAAATAAAGAGAAAGAAACTGGGCAACAGAGCAAGACTCTGTCTTAAATAAATAAACAAGAAAAAAGAAAAATATTAAAAATTGCTTACAAAAGGAAGATTTAAATAAATGGAGACATTCAAACAGGAAAAGAGGAAATCAAATTGTCTTTGTTTGCAGATGACATGATTGTATATTTAGAAAACTCCATCATCTCAGCCCCAAATCTCCTTAAGCTGATAAGCAACTTCAGCAAAGTCTTAGGATACAAAATCAATGTGCAAAAATCAGAAGCATTCCTATACACCAGTAATAGACAAACAGAGAGCCAAATCATGAGTGAACTCCCACTCACAATTTCTACAAAGAGAATAAAATACCTTGGAATACAACTTACAAGGGATGTGAAGGACCTTTTCAAAGAGAACTACAAACTGCTTCTCAAGGAAATAAGAGTGGACACAAACAAATGGAAAAACATTCCATGCTCATGGACAGGAAGAATCAACATCATGAAAATGGCCATACTGTCCAAAGTAATTTATAGATTCAATGCCATCTCCATCAAGCTACCATTGACTTTCTTCACAGAATTGGAGAAAACTACTTTAAATTTCCTATGGAATCAAAAAAGGGCCTGTATAGCCAAGACAATCCTAAGCAAAAAGAACAAAGCTGGAGCCATTGTGCTACCTGACTTCAAACTATACTACGAGGCTCCTACAAGGTTACAGTAACCAACACAGCATGGTACTTGTACCAAAACAGATATATAGACCAATGGAACAGAAGAGAGGCCTCAGAAATAACACCACACATCTACAACCATCTGATCTTTGACAAACCTGGCAAAAACAAGCAATGGGGAAAGATTCCCTGTTTAATAAATGGTGTTGGGAAAACTGGCTAGCCATAGGCAGAAAACTTAAACTGGACCCCTTCCTTACACCTTATACAAAAATTAACTCAAGATGGATTAAAGACTTAATTGAAAGACCTAAAACCATAAAAACCCTAGAAGAAAACCTAGGCAATACCATTCAGGACATAGGCATGGGCAAAGACTTCATGACTAAAACACCAAAAGCAATTACAACAAAAGCCAAAATTGACAAATGGGATCTAATTAAACTAAAGAGCTTCTGCACAGCAAAAGAAACTATCATCAGAGTGAACAGGCAACCTACAGAATGGGAGAAAAATTTTTGCAATCTATCCATCTGACAAAGGGCTAATATCCAGAATCTACAAGGAACTTAAACAAATTTACAAGAAAAAATCAACCCCATCAAAAAGTGGGAGAAAGACATGAACAGACACTTCTCAAAAGAAGACATTTATGTGGCCAATAAACATATGAAAAAAAGCTCATCATCCCTGGTCATTAGAGAAATGCAAATCAAAACCACAATCAGATACTATCTCATGCCAGTTAGAATGGTGATCATTAAAAAGTCAGGAAACAACAGATGCTGGAGAGGATGTGGAGAAATAGGAACGTTTTTACGCTGTTGGTTGGAGTGTAAACTAGTTCAACCATTGTCGAAGACAGTGTGGCTATTCCTCAAGGATCTAGAACCAGAAATACCATTTGACCTAGCAATCCCATTACTGGGTATACACCCAATGGATTATAAGTCATTCTACTATAAAGACACATGCACATGTATGTTTATTGCAGTATTATTCAGAATAGCAAAGACTTGGAACCAACCCAAATGCACATCAATGATAGACTAGATAAAGAAAATGTGGCACATATGCACCATGGAATACTATGCATCCATAAAAAAGGATGAATTCATGTCCTTTGCAGGGACGTGGATGAAGCTGGAAACCATCATTCTCAGCAGACTAACACTGGAACAGAAAACCAAACACCAAATGTTCTCACTCATAGGTGGGAGTTGAACAATGAGAACACAACAGGTAGAGGAACATCACACACCAGGGCCTGTTGGGGAGTAGGGGGCTAGGGGAGGGATAGCATTAGGAGAAATACCTAATGTATATGACGGGTTGATGGGTGCAGCAAACCACCATGGCACGTGTATACCTATGTAACAAACCTGCATGTTCTGCACATGTATCTCAGTCCTTAAAGTATTAAAAAAAAAAATCCACAAAAATTAGCTGGGTGTGGTGGCACATGCCTGTAGTCCCAGCTACTCAGGAGGCTGAGGCAGGAGAATCGCTTGAACCCAGGAGATGGAGGTTGCAGTGAGCAGAGATCACATCACTGCACTTCAGACTGGGTGACAAAGTGAGACTGTGTGAAAAAAAAAAAGGCATTGGCTTTGAGGTGAAATATGAATGCTTAAGGCAGAATACCTCAATACCAGTTTATATTATTAATTCTGGAAAGATTTTAAAGACAATGTTATATGCACTGTTTTCTACAACGTGTCCCTATAAACCATTTTTGAGGGCATTGGAAGATTATGGTGGCTGTTTCCATATTAAAATGTTAATGTCTGAGTCAAGTTGGTGGTTTTTGAACCTGAAAGATCAAATAGTTCTATTTAATTGTATTAACCAAATTGATTTTAAACCAGCGGAATTATTTGCAGTGCTTAAAAAGTCATTATTTTCCATTCAAGTGAGATAAATGGGTCACCTTGGGATTTGCAGCTGGAGTTTTCCTTTATGATAATATATTGGGAACCAAGTCATTTGTCCTAATGACACTCTCAGCAAAGGTTCACCAAACCTGTCTTGATTAATTTTTCAAAAGCACTTGAAGA
This sequence comes from Homo sapiens, assembly GCF_000001405.40. Lineage (NCBI taxonomy): Eukaryota > Metazoa > Chordata > Mammalia > Primates > Hominidae > Homo > Homo sapiens. The sequence goes on along the minus strand of NW_003315939.2, from coordinate 120,563 downwards.
GATTTACCAATTACACTTTCAGGGGTTGATTTGATCAGCTCCACATGGTTGCACAATCTGCATCTTGCTACTTAAACTCCAACAGACCAAAATGGTTAAAAGAGGTCTGATGGAAATAAACTATGAACTCAATTCTAATGTGGTCTAAACTTGTATGCTTTAAATTACTGCATATTTGGGATGCTGCATATAAAATGATCTAATGCAAATTCTCAAATTCTGAAAAAGTAGTGAGGGAGCAAATATTAATTCCATTTTGCCAGTGAGAGATACTGTGACAGAAAACGATAAAGGAACTGAAGATGGCACACTGAACACCACCACAGGACGATTAATCGTTTTCTTTCATCTCCGCTCCCATCCTTCGTTTCTGTGGCAGTTATCATTACATTCTGGCAGTAATGTGGTGGTAAGTAATCTGCATTTTCAATTCTCACAGACATTATACAGTTCCATTTTGAAACAAATTGCTTTTTCTTTTTTGGTCTCTTCTAAAATCTTTCTTCTCAAAGTATGGTCCTTGGCTTAGCAGCAATGGCATCAACTAGTTGCTAATTAGAAATGCCCAGATTCTGCTAGATCAATCTGTTTCATTCATGTGTATATTAAAATCAAGAAGCACTCTCTGGCCAGGCGCAGTAGCTCACACCTGTAATACTAGCGACTCTGGAGCCTGAGGCAGAAGGATCTCTTGAGGCCAGGAGTTTGAGACCAGCCTGGACAACATAGTGAGACCGTGTTTCTAAAATAAATAAATAAATAAATAAATAAATAAAATTAGCCAGGCATGGTGGTGCACCTAGTCCCAACTACTTGGGAAGTTGATGTGGGAGGATCGCTTGAGGCCAAGAGTTCGGGGCTGCAGTGAACTGTGATTGTGCCACTGTACTCCAGCCTGGGTGACAGAGTGAGAATCTGTCTCAAAAACAAACACACAAAATCCCAAAAAACTTCCACAAGTTCAGCTGTGCAAGCTTGAGAATCACTGCTTTAGCATAATGTTGCATCTGGGTGGCCTCACTTTCAAACTTACCATTCGTAAAACGGAATTTTTATATGCTTTTTATATAGTATGTTTGTTGCTCCATAAAGGAAGTTGAGGAATTCAGGATTGTTCTTACTTAATCCATCCATTAATTAAATAACTCTTCTTTTAAGAACAAATGCTTTTAATCTCATGACTAACAAACCTTGTTATGTCAATTTGTGCATTAAGCATTGTTATGTGAAAACCTACTCAGCGTTTCACAAAATGTGAGGAAAGAAATAGAAAATAAAGAAATGTGTTTGGTTTTAGTCATTATTACGGTAGGATAAACTCTGATTATCATAACAGAAAAGAATTTCAATTATGAAATTCAGAGCACACATGAGAATAGATAAGGTCACTAGGTAAGATACAGGAAATCCAGTTAAATTTGAATTTCAGATCAACTGTAAATATTTTTTTTTTACCTAAGAATTTAGCATTTTTTAGTATAAGTATTTAGTAGAAATAGGTTCCATGAAAGTACCTGGGACATAGTTTTATTTGCTAAATCTGGCAACCCTAAGAAATAAGCCAGGCAAAATGAGGGGTAAATTATTATATTTATAATCATTAAAAATTGGAACCTATATGATATGCTATCAGGCCAGCTACATAAGTTACCTTTTATAGAATATTTTACAATTAAGGAGCAATAATGTATGCTGTGTTCCGTGATTGCAGCTCAATATGAAATCTCTAAGTAATTTTGATCAAGAAATTTCTTTGCGTTGATGTCGAAACACAAGCAATAATAATTTAAAATAATCCCATGCATCCTGATTACCATTCTACTAATTTTATTAATTTATGTGTAAAATGTTGAACCAAAACAATACACTGCAATGTTCTTAAAAGAAGAGGAGAGAGAGAGGAAAAAAAAAGGAGAAAAAGAAAAGCCATACCGAAATTCTGAGCTGTTGGAAAACTCAGCCAGCAGCAGAGGGCACTAATGTATCACTGATGAATTGTGCATCACAAGAGGCTTAAACATTTTTTTTTTTTTGCCTCGCACTAATAAACTTTTATTTCACTCAAATTAGAGCAATAATCTTCCATACATAAGTATTTTCCCTGCCCAATAATTCAAATAAAAAAATCCAAAATGATTAATAAAGAAAAATATAAGAATTAACAGACCCTTTAAATTTGTTTTACATATTTTTAAGGTTTAAAAAGGGTTTAAAGTTTGTAATTCCTAGTAGGAAAACATTATCTGAATGAATACTCTAATGGCAAACCACCGTAAAATGCTTCAGCTGCATTCGGGGGAGAGGGGTAGGGATTATCTTCAAAGCACTCCAGCTCTCTTGATGAGAAGGTCAGAGGTACACCGGTTTGTATTACTGCATCATCCATAAGGTGATCTAGGTTGCTTTTCCTTCAGCAATGCCTTTATTTATCGGAAGGGCATTAGGCTTGACCTCCAAATTTGGCTGACAATTTACTGATAAGATTCATAACCTTTGGATTGCTCTGGTATTTTGACATATTTGCTGGGTTCTGAGCCACATCCTGGAAGGCCACCATGACTTCTGGATCCTGCAAGGCTGCAGGAACCTCTGGATCACTAAGAATTTCATTGGGTCCAGGCCTTCTGGCCATCCTAGGTATGCCCCCTCCATTCCAGGTATTCTTCTGGGAAAATTACCAGGCATTTCCCCAGGAAAGCCACCTGGAAAAAAGCCAGACTGAGCTCCTGACTATTGTCTGGCTTCTTCCTCCCTCTGGGCTCTCTCATGCTCTTCCGAGTCTTCTTAACTCTTTCTATTCTTTCTTTGGTCTCTCGCTCTTCACGTTTTCGCTCATACTTTCTCCGATGTTCTGTAATTTCCTGTGTCCTAGGTGGAATCAGGATTTTTTTCAATGACTCTGTCACAGTCTCGGATGGCAGAATTTGGCTTCTGTAATTTGATGAAGACACTGGCCCTCTTGGCATACAAAATAGCCAAGTGAGGATTCAGCTTGATGGAATCTGTGATAAGTCAATGGCTTTCTGCAGTTCACCATCATTTAGGGCTTCAACAGCAGCCACTTTCTTATCATTTGCCTGATCCATCATCTCCTCTGTTATCTCTGCATTTTCATCTCCCATTTCTTGAGGGGCATCAGTGTCTGGTTCAATCACACCTTCATTATTAATTTCTAGATAACTTTCCTTACTGGATGGTTCATCTGCCTTTAAGTCTTCCTCCACATTCTTACTACCAGATTTTTCTTCCTTGGTATTTTCTTCTGATTTAGCTTTCTGACTAGCAGGTGGCACTTTACTCCCCATGCTCTCCACCCACTCCCTCAGGAAGCACATTTCCTTGGTGTGCAGAACGCTGAGATCCTGCTTACACATTTTCACAAAGGCCCGAAGCGTGTTCACTTCGGGAGGCGGTGGGCAAAGCTAAGGGGCTGTGGCTGGTTCCAGGCCCAGGTGCTGGCTTGGCATGACCTCGTAGAAGCAGGCGGCTGCCGGGAGACAGAACACACTAGAACCTTCCTGGCCACTGGCTCCTCTTCACCCAACGGTCTCGTGACCCCAGGTCCTCTGCCTGCTCATTCCTATTCCCTCTGCGCTGCTCCTGCCCTCTCCCTAGAACCTTCTAGAAGCGTGGCTGTTCGTGCTGTTCCCTGCCTTTCTGCGCACACATGCTCATATTCTTAACTAGGGACCAGCTCCCTGGATGGGGCAACCCCTGACATGGGTGCCTTCAAGGAGGCGGGGGATAGCAGCCCTTTCAGGGAGCAATGTCCAAGAGCATATTCTGTGGCTGCGTGCACTTGAGGCTTAAACATTTTTGTAATGCTTTGTTCAACTTAGATTTTATTTAAATATTTATTTTAATCAACTTTGCCATGCAGTGTTGTTAAAAGATTAGAAACTAAAAGCAGTTCTAGTGTACTGTTCAGCACTTGCATGACCCTAAATAACATATATATATATATATATTTGCTTAAGATCCTTCGCTAAAAAAGTACTTAACCATTTTGGCAACTGGATGTACTATGTTTCTGGTTTATGCTTGAATGCCTGGGTCTTTACAAGTGTGTTGACTGTGTGTGAGGGACCATAGGTCTAATTAAGGAAGGCAGTGGTGGATGGAGGCTTGTGAAGTTAAGGAACTAAATCTAGTTGGGTGGGAGATGGCCATGGCTGGACTGACTTAACTCCTGAACCAGACAATGAAGTGTCATATGATACATTTCTGTCCCCAGGCATACAAACCTATACAGAGGTGTGTATAAGTGCAGTAAAATTCAGGACTATTTCATTTTCCCCACAGTAATGCCTTTATGGACAGAGAAGGAGAGTTCATTTTGGCCCTCTTTGTGCTAGCCTTGGCATTGCATATATTTGATTTCATTCCAGTTTCATGACAACCCTGTGAGGTAGGTGTTATTATCATCTGTTTACAGATGAAAAAATCCCCAAGGCTGAAAGAAAGGATATATTTCAATGAACACTATCCTTGTGTATAGTGGGCACTCAACATTCATCTAATGTAGCATTTCTTAAACTTTGGTCTGTAAGACACTGGTACCATTCAAGGTTTCATAAGTTTTCCTTATCAAACAATTATGGGAAATGTTGCAAATTTTAACTGTCTCTTAGAGTTTCACAATGCACAAAAATGTTTTAAAATTTCTTAAGAAATTATGTGGTAATGCAACTTATTTAACTTTATGCTTAGGTTTCTCAATCTTATTTAGCTAAATAATTTTTCTTTTCCTCCCATTTTTAGTAGAACTACCATCCATGTGGCAAGGCATACACCTTTTGTGAAACATGTTTTGAAAAACATGGGTCTAATTATGTATGGAGTATATTTTCTGGTAGGAATTAGAGGAGTTAGTTCATTATTATCATCATTCTTAGAAAATATGTATTTGGGTGGCGATTCCTCAAGGATCTAGAAACAGAAATACCATTTTTCCCAGCAATTCCATTACTGGGTATATACCCAAAGGATTATAAATCATTCTACCATAAAGACACATGCACATGTATGTTTATTGTGGCACTATTCACAATAGCAAAGACTTGGAACCAACCCGAATGCCCATCAATTATAGACTGGATAAAGAAAATGTGGCACATATACATGATGGAATACTATGCAGCCATAAAAAAGAATGAGCCCATGTCCTTTGCAGGGACATGAATGAAACTGGAAACCATCATTCTCAGCAAACTAACACAAGAATGGAAAACTAAACACTGTATGTTCTCACTCATAAGTGTGATTTGAACACTGAGAACACATGGACACAAGTAGGGGAACATCACACACCGGGGCCTGTTTGGGCGTGGGGGCAAGGGGAGGGAGAGCATTAGGACAAATACCTAATGCATGCAGGGCTTAAAACCTAGATGATGGGTTGATGGGTGCAGCAAACCACCATGGCACATGTATACCCATGTAGCAAGCCTGCACAGTCTGCACATATATCCCAGAACTTAAAGTATAATAATAAAAAAAAGAAAATAGGTATTTGGTACCTTCAATTTGTAGGGCATTGGGATAGAATCCAGAGATATGACACAAACCCTGTTAGAGAGAGAGAGGAGTTTACAGTTTATATGAAGAGGCAAAAATGTCTTTGGTTTGAGTGGGAATGTAACTTTAACTCCAGTGCTCTTCTTTCTTTAATTTTTAGCGTAGGATGGTGGTCATGGATAACAGGGTTTCCAATGATTTCTTAATGTGACATTCTGTTTTGTTCCCCTAGTAAACAATTACCACTTTCTTCCATTAATTTAGTATGGCTTAGATATTTGGAAGGATGAAAAACTTAAACATTTGAATACAAGTAAATCCCAGATAGAAGTCATTAAGAATCGTACATCTTTGACACATCCTAGGAAAACAGGTGTCTTCCTTTTCACACACATTCAAATGCACACACACATTCCATTTCATCTCATCAGCACATCACATCTTTATATCATTTGTTAGATAAACAAAAGCAAATGAAGGTTGTGGATATCTATATCAAGGGATTGGTCAAAGGATTTGAAGTTCATAGACTAAAAATTTCAGTTGTTTTTCAGTAATTTTGAAGGCTGGCAAGTTACTACTATGCCAGAGATCTCTAGCCTTTCTTCTTTAGGGATGTGATGATATTTTGCACTGTTCTGGCACCTTTTTCTAATAATCTTTTAAAACCTTATCAAGCAATGTAACATATTACCAACAAGGAAATGAAATTAATTTGTAGTTGTAACATTAACAGGGGAGTTGGAAATGAAATATTCAGCTGTGTTTGGATATGCAAGGGGAAATGTGAAGATGATGAACAATAAACCAATAACACAATCTTGTAATATTTTTTTCTTGAGGTATTCAGATACTTATAACAAAAAAAGATTTTCCTCCCTGTATCACCTTATTTAAGTCAGCCCCAGCACTTCACTGTATGTGTCCCTTCGAAGTAGGGCGTTGCTTAGAAAGGCTCTGGGTGTGCAGCCTTGCTTTTTTGAAAGGATCGTGACTTGCACCTCCATCTCATATTCTTGGGGAGGACAGAGAAGGGGGTTTATCTTTGCTTCTACATATCTTAGCAGCATTCTTATCCTATTAAGCCATAGGCCTTATTTATTCAGGTCACAAATAACTGAGAAGTGTAGAAATGATAGGCTACTGATGGCAAATTGTATTTTTCCATATTATGACTATAAATAAGTTACCTGAGACAATTTTTTAGAAGCCAATTTCACTATAGTGGTTTAAACCAAAACTCAATGAAAGGAAGTCATTTTTTCACACAATGCAGTAGTGATAAAGAATGATTATTTTCTCTTTACATTGATAACACCTAATCTTTAATCCTCCTTATGAGATTTGCTTTAATATCTAAAAATAATGAACATTTCTAAAAAATGTGCCTCCAATGGAACTACAAACTCACTAGAAATTGCAGAGGATGTCCATGTGGAGATGTTTCATATGAAACTGCAAGTGGCTCATGACATTACTTTTGGATAGTTCCCCTGGGGGAACATGACACACATCTGACAATATAAATGAGATAATTCGTATCTTGGCCTAAAGCTTGGTGTCCCTTCATTTCAAATAATAACACTGGGGAGCCTGGAAGAAAGAGGCAGATTCATCATTTAAACTGTGTTTCCTACATTAAGAGATTGGGAATGCAAAACAAAAGAAGTTGAGCCCCAGAGTTACTGGTTGTTATCTCTTTCAGCACTACTAGTAGCAGAGCCATTGTAAACTTGTTGGGGCAACATGGGCAACTGGGGACTCTCTAGTCACTTGTTTATAACAGAAATCAATGCTTTTTAAACATCTTTAACTCCAGTTGTGGCTTAAAGTCATCAGTAGATTCAGTTAAACAAAAACCTTTCTTTAATACTTATATTGAATTTCTTTAAAAAGCATTTATTAAGCACCTATTTTATGCCAGGCACTGTTCTAGGTAGTGGGTCACTGGTGAACATGATGGGTGAAGTCCCAGCTCTCTTAGAGTTTACTTTTCCCTGGGAATAAAGACAATAAACAAGTTAACAAAGAGGCTATAAAAAATAAAATAGATTAATGTAATAGAGAGTGACACGTGTGGGGTGGAAAAGGCATCCCTGAGGGGGTATTATTTAAGAAAATGGAATCAGCTAGAGAAGGGGAAGGAAAAGAGCACCCCAGTCATTGGAAACAAGTGCAAAGGCCGGAGGCAGGAGCAAACTTGGCATACTCAAGGTACTGGAAGGAGCTCTTGTAGCCAGAGCCTGGTGAGCAAAGGAGGGGTAATGGAAGATAAGCAAGGAGAGGCAGGCAGGGATTGGACCATCTGGGATCTTGTAAGATCTCGATGAAGAGTTTAGATTTTATTGTACGTGCAATTCTAGCTGCTGTGAGGAGAATGACTGTGCAGGCAAGAGTGGGTGCAGGAAGAGCACCAGGGCTATTTCAGGTAAGCCAGGTAAGTCCAGGGTCTTGGTCTAAGGTGGAAATAGTAGAAATGGTGACAAGTAGTTGATTCCAAAATATATTTTAGAGAGATAAACCACAGGATATATTGATGGATTAGATGTGGGGATTGAGGGAAAGAGGTCTTTGTCCTGAACAATCTCCTGAGATGGGAAAGAAGAGGTTTAGGGGGTGGAAATTAAGGATTTGATTTGAATGTGCTTAGTTTCAGATGCCTACTGGGCATCAAAACACTGATATCAGATAAGTCAGAGCTGAAGATACACACTTGGGTGTTATTTGTATATAGGTGGCATTGGAAGATCAGGGCCATGACCAGCTGATGTTGGGAGAGAGTATAGATCCAAGAGAAGGTGGTGCAGAACTGCGTCTCCAAGTCACAACATTGTTGAAGTTGGGAAGAGGAAGAGGAGCAGCAAAAAAAAGGAGAAGGACCAGCCAGTGTAACAGGCAGGAAGATGGAGAGGTGTAGCTATGGAAATCGATAGAAAAAGTGTTTTAGGGAGGAAGAGTATAGTGCTGCAGAGAGGTAAAGTAAGATGAGAACAGAGAGATAGCCATCAGGTTTGTCTCTCAATGGTCATGAGTGACCTTGAGAAGAGTGAGGTTAACAAAGAGGATGAAACTCAACCTTTCTCTTCAGAGAACTGACAGTGTAGCCACAGAAACAAAAACCAGTCTAAAGTGGAACTTTATTTTGTGGCTCTACTTAACTTCTCAGGGTAACTGTAACCATAGAAACCCACTGTGATTTAAGAACCCCTAGAGGTTGGATAGTCCAGACTTTCACCTTGGGCCTTCCAGGACAGGCTGACAGATGTTAAAAATTTGCACAAACATTTCCAGGACTGGAAGTTCATCTTATGATAGTTCACTTTGTGGCTGGATAGCTTTGTCTGTTAAAATAAAAGCCTTTGACAACTTAAATTTAGCAGAGTTTATTTGAGCAAAAAATAATTCATGCATTGGCAGTACTTAGAACCAGCAAAAGTTCAGAGAGCTCACTAAGCACAGTTGGAAGTGAGTATGTTTACACAGTAAAGGGAAGTGCAGAAAGAGCTTGACTTGCTACAGCTTGATATTTGCCCTATTTGAACATGATCTGAGCAGGTGGCAGCCTGTGATTGGCTGGAGCTCAGCTGCTATGGTTGGCCAAGACTGACCATTTGTTATATTCCAAAGTTAGATTTTCAGTTGTTTACTCACTAAGTTGCAATTTGTTTGTAGGAACTCAAGGTATGGAGATGGCCTCAGACCAATGGCCTCCTACTTATTTAAGAGATCTCTTTCAGAGCATGGAGATGTCTCATGCCAGGATGCTTATTTGTTATTATTAAATTAATTAATTTTTATTATTACCATTTTGTTATTATTATTTTATTTTATTTAACCAATGGAGACTCACTGTATATTATTTTTAACTTACTATTTTATTATTATTAATTACCATTTTGTTTTTACAGGATTTTTTTTTTTTTTGTTTTTTGAGATGGAGTCTCACTCTGTCGCCCAGACTGGAATGCAGCGGCACGATTTTGGCTCACTGCAAGCTCCGCCTCCCGGGTTCACGCCATTCTCCTGCCTCAGCCTCTCGAGTAGCTAGGACTACAGGTGCCTGCTACCACGCCCGGCTAATTTTTTGTATTTTTAGTAGAGACGGGGGTTTCACTGTGTTAGCCAGGATGGTCTCGATCTCCTGACCTCGTGATCTGCCTGCCTCGGCCTCCCAAAGTGCTGGGATTACAGGCGTGTGCCACTGCGCCCAGCCTTTTACAGGATGTTTTTAATGTCTTTTTGCTATTCCTTCCTCTTCTCCTCCTACTCTGTGTGTGTGTGTGCGCATGTGTGTGTGTGCTTGTGTGTGTGTGTGTGTATAGTGGGGGGAGGTGGGAGAGGAAAGAGCATGGGCTTCTGAGCTAGACAAAAGTTCGTTCTTGGCTCTGGCACTTAATAATTGTTCAGTTTTAGACAAGTTATTTTATTTTTAGGGGATTAGTCTCTTGATCAGTAAAAGAGAGACAACACATAGTTCATAGGGCGTATTATGGGGCTAGAATGAGATGATCTGTGTTAACACTTACTGATATGGTTTGGGTGTGTCCTCTCCCGAATCTCATCTTGAATTGTAACTCTCATAATTACCACATGTTGTGGGAGGGACCCAGTGGGAGGTATTTGAATCGTGGGGGTGGGTCTTTCCTGTGCTATTCTCATGATGGTGAATAAGTCTCACGAGAGCTGATGGTTTTATAAAGGGGATTTCCCTGCACAAACTTTCTTCTCTTGTCTGCCACCATGTGAGATGTGCCTTTCACCTTCTGCCATGATTGTGAGGCCTCCCCAGCCACGTGGACCTATGAATACATTAAACTTCTTTCTTTTGTAGATTGCTGAGTCTTGGGTATGTCTTTATTAGCAGCGTGAAAACAGACTAATACACTCGCCAAGCACCTGGTAAGTGGCAGGTGTGGAGTAGATGTTCATTACCCTCCCCTCCCTCAGCTCTTGTGAGGAGACCAGCTCTTGGCTTTGCTGGGGGCTTCCTCTTGGAAATGTTCCTTGACACTCCTCACCCTTCCCACCCACACTCAATCAAGCTTTCTTCTTTTTTCTTTGTGTGTGCCTTTATCATACCATCTATGATATGTGATTGGTTTCTACATTTCTCTCCAACTAGACTGTAAACCTTCAGAGATTGGGAAGGGTTTTCACCTTCAGGGATGAAAAATAGCATACTGATTAAAGATGCAGCTTGAAGCCAAACAACTTGTTCCATCGGTGTCAGCTGAGGTCTTGAGCAATTTACTTAACTGCTCTGTGCCTCGTTTCCTCATTTGAGGAGTGGGTCTGACATAATTGGGTGAGGATTAAATGAGATAGCTCTGATAAGTTCTTGAGGCAGTGCCTGCCACATAGCACTCCATAAATGTTTGCTATTACAAGGATTGTCTTTGTAGCCTCTGCAGTGCCTGCTCTGGGGACTGGTGCCCCAAAGGAGCTAGTCTGTGGGATGACTGAACAAAGTGACCAAATAGAGAGCATGGATTATTACCTAGATGGGTAAGTATGTTGCAGATAATATTATTATTTTAGATGACTCTTTGAAAAATAAAATTTCAGAAGTTTTACATAAAAACATGCTTATTATAAAAAATTCAACTAATATAGAATTATATCAAGTAGAAAGAAAAACACCTTATTTCATCGCCAGCTTTTCATCTTTTCATGTGTTAAGTTTGGTGTATAACCTTCCAACCTTTATTATTTAACACATTTACTGTTTTCTCTTTGTGGTTCAGGCATTGGCTCTCATGCCCATAGACTGAAAAACAAACTCTACTACCCATTTGCCAAAAATGTCAGAGACTAAGAATTTGAATTAATCAGACATTGATACATTAATTCTAAGTTGTTAGAAACTTATTACTAACAACTTGTTTTTAAAAAATAATTGTTTTATACCTGAATATATCTTTCACTTCCTTCAAGATGATTTGTGTGCAGAGTAGACACTGGCCTTGGAGTGTTTGGGGATAATGGGAAGAGGTGCTTTGTTCAAAAATTCTCTCCCACACTCTGTCACGTGCTTGGTATTTTCTTGTTAGAGCTGCATTTCTTTGAGTTCAGATATTACCAAAAAGCCCCTGCAAATTTGCAGGTGAGCACAGTTTTTAGACAAAGCAGCTTAAGGGAAGGGAAAGCCCTGAGAATGAACTTAGAAGCTTTGTCTCTGTCAGGGTTTGACTTTTAGCTCCTTCTGTTTAAGAATCAGAATCTCAGCCCTGACTCAGGGGCTTTAACTCTTCTGGTTCCTATGCCTTGATTTTGTCATGCTCTGGTTCTTCAGTTAAAGTTCCTCTCTTCAGACTCATTTTATATTTTGGAACAGTAGGAGGAGCTCTTTGGATGAGCTGAGGCTTTAGCCATCCTTTGATAATAAATTTTTATTTCTAAGGCGCTAGGCATAGACCTAGAGGCATTTTACTGTGGTAGGTTTTTATCTCTTTTAAAATAAATAGAAAGGGACATATGAATTTTTATCAAATCATGGATCTAAAAACAAAGCCCATGGTAACAGAATGTTGCTGCATATTTCCTAATAATGCTTTATTACTAACATTTTCTTATTATCCTAAAAACTAGTTACTTCTCTTCCAATTTTATGGTAATATAAAGTTATTGGTTGAAACATTATTATAGCTGTTTTATATTTGAAAATTTATTTTGGGACTGAAGTCATATCTTCAGGGAAAACATGATTGTATATTCATAGATGTTATGATTTCTTAACTGAGTCTTTTAATTTTTATAATATTTTAATACTTTTATTTGTCTAAATGTTCAAATAATCAATATCCCAAGGTTTAACAGTGCTTACAGTGTAATTGCATTTAGGACAATAAATTTTATATTGACAGTTCAGGGATCCCTATTTAGTTGAACATAACGAATTATGAAACCCCATTGGTTGAAATCTGGTTAGATGCTGCTGTTAATGATTTTCTTTTTCCTCTGTTATTAGTATTTTATGTTGTAGTTAGTAGCTTCTAAACTTCACCCCTATGAGCACTCCTATCCTTTCAAATGATTATAAAGTGTTTCCCCATTTGATAAATTGTGGTAAAATACATGAAACAAAAAATTTGTCATCGTGACTATTTTTAAGTACACAGTTCAGTATTTTTAAATGCATTCATAGTGTTGTGCAATCATCACCATCATTCATCTCCATAACATGTTTCATCTTGTAAAATTGAAACTCTGTATCCATTAAACAATAATTCCCCATATTCCCTTTTCCCCAGCTGCTGGCACCCGCTATTCTACTGTCTGACTCTATAATTTTGAACTGCTCTAAATACCTCATATAAGTGGAATCATACAGTACTCGTCTGCTAGAGACTGGCTTATTTCACTTCACATAATGTTCTCAAGATTCATCTATATTGTAGCCGACATCAGAATTTCCTTCCCTTTTAAGGTGAAATATATTTCATTGTACAGATATACCACATTTAGCTTATCCATTCATCCATTGATGGACCATGGGTTGCTTTCATGGTTTAGCTCAAAAATGCTGCTACCAACATGGGTATACAAATATCCTTTGAGGCCCTGCTTTCAGCTTTTTTTGGGTACAGAAATAGAATTCCTGGATCATAAGTTAATCCAATTTTTAAATTTTTGAGGAACTGTCATACTGTTTTTCACAGCGGCTGTAACATTTTACATTTTCACCAACAGTACACAAGGGTCCCAATTTCTCCACACCCTCTCCAACACTTCTGTTCTGTTCTGTTCTTTTGGCAGTAGCCCTCTTAATGGGTGTGAGGTGATATCTCATTGTTTTGATTTGCATTTCCCCAGTGATTAGTAATGTTGAACATCTTTTCATGTGCTTATTGGCTATTTGTGTATTTTCTTTAAAGAAATGTCTGTTCAAATCTTTTGCCCATTAAAACTTTTTTTTTTCAATATGGTGGGCAGTTTAGTATGGCCCAACTCATAGTTGGAGGGAGGCAGGGACAAACCCAGTGTGCTTCTGCCAGCTCTGAGGCCACCACAGGACTCATAGAGAGTAGGCTCATAAATAGACAGGAACCAGAGATCGCACTGGCCTGCCAGCCACTGCTTCCAATTCCTGTTTGTAGAAAAAAAAGACTGCCACCTTTTGGTCCACTGGCTTTTTAAGGCCAATGGGGATGAGCAGATGGCAACTCCCAGGCATCCCGCAAAGAAGGTGAGTCACCTTAAGACTTTTGCCCATTTTGAATCAGGTTGTCTTCTTGTTGTTGAGTTTTAGAAGTTCTCTATGTATGCTGCACATTAATCCCTTATCAGATATGATATTTTCTTTCATTTTGTGGGTTGTGTTTTTACTTTGTTGATAGTATCTTTTGATGTACAAAATGTAAACATTGTTTAGGAAGTACAATTTGTCTATATTTTCTTTTGTTGTCTGTGCCTTTGATGTCAAATCTGAGAAATGACTGTCAAATCCAATGTTGTGAAGCTTTTGCCCTGTGTTTTCTTCTAAGGGTTTTATTGTTTTAAGTCTTATGTTTAGGCTTTTGATCCATTAAAACATTTTAAAAATTGTTTCATTTTTGTTTTTAAACTTATCATAGAGATGAAGGTCTTGCTATATTACCCAGGCTGTTCTCAAATTCTTGGCTTCAAGCGATCCTCTGCCTTGGCCTCCCAAAGTGCTGGGATTACAGGCATGAGCCACTGTGCCTGGCCTCTGATCAATTTTGATTTAATGTTTGAATATGGATTAGATAAGGATCCAGTTTTATTCTTTTGCAAGTGAATATCCCATTTTCCCAGGATTATTTGTTGAAAAGACTGTCTTTTCCCCACTGAATAGTCTTGGCATTCTTGTCAAAAATCATTTGACCATATATATATAGCAGGGTTCATTTCTGGGCTCTTAATTCTATTCCATTGGTATATATGTCTGGCTTTATGCCACTACCACAGTATTTTAATTATTATAGCTTTGTGGTAAGTTTTAAATTCAGGAAATGTGAGTCCTCCAGCTTTGTTCTTTTTTTCAGGTTGTTTTGGCTATTTTGGGTCCTTGAGATTCTATATGAATTTTAGGATGGGTTTTTCTATTTCTGCAAAAAATGCCATTTGGATTTTGGTAGTTTTTGCATTGAATCTGCAGATCACTTTGGGTAGTATTGATGTCTTAGCCATATTGTCTTCCAATCCATGAACATAGGATGCATTTCCATTTGTTTAAGTCTTCTTTAATTTCATCAGTGATTCATAATTTTCATTGTAAAATATTTTACTTCTTTATTTAGGTTAGTTCCTAAGTGTTTTATTCTTTTTAATGCTATTGTAAGTTGAATTTTCATAATTTCCCTTTTAGATTGTTTATTGTTAGTATGTAGAAATGCAGCTGATTTTTATGTGCTAACTTTGTATCCTGCTACTTTGCTGAATTCCATTATTAGTTCTAATAGTTTCTTTTGTTAGAATCCTGAGGGTTTTCTATATATAAAATTATATCATCTGTAAACAGAGATAATTTTACTTCTTCCTTTCCAGTTTAGATGTCTTTTCTTTTTCTTGCCTAATTGTTCTGCGTAGAATGTCCAGTTTTATGTTGAATTCAAGTGGCAAAAGTGGGCATTCTTGCTCTGTTCTTGATATTAGAAGAAAAGCTTTTATTGTTTTACCATTGAATATGATATTTGCTCTGGGTTTTTCATAATGCCTTCTATTATGTTAAGGTGGTTTCCTTCTATTCCCAGTTTGTTGAGTGTTTTCTATCATGAAAGGGTATTGAATTTTGTCATATGCCTTTTCTGCACCAATTGAAAAGATCATGTGGTTCCCTCCCCTTCATTCTGTTAATGTTGTTTATTAGAGTGGTGGATTCTAATACGTTGAACCATCCTTGCATTCCAGGAATAAATCCCACTTGATGATTGTGTAAAATGCTTTTAATGTGC
The DNA here is from genome assembly GCF_000001405.40 of Homo sapiens. NCBI lineage: Eukaryota > Metazoa > Chordata > Mammalia > Primates > Hominidae > Homo > Homo sapiens. Next base: position 105,132 of record NW_003315939.2, on the reverse strand, counting down.
TGCAAGATTTGGTTCGCTAGTATTTTGTTGAAGATTTTTGCATCAATGTTCATAAGAGATGGTGGTCTTTTGTTCTTTTTTCTTTCTCATTTATTTTTATTTAATTAATTGTAAAGATACAGGGTCTCACTCTGTCACCCAGGCTGGAGTGCAGTGGTGTTATCCTAGCTCACTGTAGCCTTGAACTCCTTGGCTCAAGCAATCCTCCCACCTCAGCCTCCTGAGTAGCTGGATCTAAAGGCATGTACCACCATGACTGGCTAATTAAAAAAAAATTTTGTTTTTAGAGACAGGATCTTTGTCCCAAGTGCTCAGATAATATGCAGTTACAGGATCTTCAGGGTGTTGTTTTTCTGGCTAGAAACCTCTGTGGCTAGGCTGTTTCACCAACTCACCTTGGCAGGCTGCACTTGACCTACTGGCCTGGGTCCCATGCCTGCCAAGGGTGAATCAGACATGGAATGGCCAGGGGTGTGTGAGTGAGCATGGGGTCTGGCCACTGCATAGTCAGACATGCTGGTTGCTGCAATGGGGTGGGCAGCTCCAGGTGCTGTCACAGGTGCTGGCCCTCTGCAAGGCTGCAGCTGGACCAGGCACACCACAAGCAGCTTCCAAGGCTGGAATGGGGAAACATGGTGATGCCTGGAGGCTTGGAGATGCCAGGAACTGCAGGTCCCCAAAGAGGGAGTCACAGTCCTGGCTTGGGGAGTTCCCAGGTCTGGGCTAACTGAAGAGCCATAGCTCTTCTTTCCTTCTCTTCTCTCACAATGTCGCAAGCAAGGGGGTATGTCTCAGCCCTGTTTGTGTTACAGCTCTTTTAGCCTTGCCATTTGGACTTGTGCCCAGGAAGAATGAAGTACGCAGACAAGTGGAGGGTGAGCAAGACAAAGAGGAGATTTACTGAGTGATATAACAGATCAGAGGAAATCTTCAGGGGCAGCTCCTTTCCGTAACCAGGGTGCCCTGATGAATGTTCTGCTCCTAGCAGAGAGGAGACCCTGGAGTGGGAAGCTCCTCTCTGCAGGCAGGTCATTCTGATGTCTTCCCAGCTTTCAGCAGAGAGGAGGCCCTGGAGTGGGTAGCACCTCTCTGCAGCTGGTTGTCCCAATGTTTCTGCAGCTGGTTGTCCCAATGTCTCTGCAGCTCTCAGCAGAGAGGAGGCCCTGGAGTGGGTAGCTTCTCTCTGCAGCTGGTGGTCCCAATGTCTCTGCAGCTCTCAGCAGACAGGAGACCCTGGAGTGGGTAGCTCCACTCTGAAGCTGGTCCTCCTGATGTCTGTTCTGGCTGAGCCTGGGGCTTTTATGGGGCTCAGAGGGGAGGAAGTGCTTGCCAACTGGTCCATGGGTGGTCATGGACAGGCCCGGAAAAGGCACCACAAGTTCCATCTCTGGTCCCTGGGACTGGCAGCCCAGCCCCCAGCCTTTAGGTCCTCCTTGGCCTGAAGGTGGGGCTCACTGGGGACCTGTCCCCTTCCACTCAGGAACTTGCCTGCCTCTTGCTGCCATTGATGGCACCCAGGCTGTAGGTGCTAAGGGGTGCCTTCAGACCAGCACTGAGCTGCCTTCAGCCTCCCTTTGGCTTCCCTCCTATGCTTGTTTGGAGGGGGCTGGGATGTCAGGGGGCTGGTGTGTCAGCACTGCCCTGAGTGTGTGCAAACTCAGCTGGGCCATGACAGCATCTGGGCTTGGCCCTGACTTTGCTTTGAGATTGGAGCAGGTGCCAACAGCAGGGGGAAGCCAGGCAGTGGGAGCAGGCACTTCTGAGCCTGTGAGGGCAGGGGGGCCTTCCTGGGCTTCCAAGAGTGCAGGAATGCCTGAATCTGCAGCCACAGTTTGGGCAGCTGCAGCTGTGCCTGGTGTGGGTGTGTGTGCAGAGCTCCTGCCTGCTCCATGGTTTGGGTGGCTGGAGCTGTGGGGTGAGGTGTGGTTCCCACTTGCTCCCAGGCTCTGAGAGCACAGGGATGCCCAGGTATTCAGCTGTGGCTTGGGTGGCTGCAGCAGCACCTGGGGAGCTCCCATCCCAACTCAGAAAAGGTGGGGCTCCTGCTTGTCCTTGGCTCCTGCTGTCTCCATGGAGCATGCAGCCCCAGCTGTACCTCCCCACTGCAGCTGGCATGACGGCAGTGGCTGCTCCAGATGGGCTGCTGCTGCCATCAATATTTTGTATATTATCTATATTTTCAAACACATTGAGACTTAATTTGTGGCCTAACATATGGTCTATCTTGGTGAAAATATTTCATGTACACTGGAGAAGAAAGCATTTGCTGTTATTGTTGGGTATAGTGTTCTGTATATGTCTGTTAAATCTAGTTGATATTTTGTGTTAAGTCCTCTATTTCCTTATTTTCTGTTTGGTTGTTCTGTCCTTTATAGAGAAGAGGCTATTGAAATCACTAACTATTACTGTAGAATTAATTCTCTCTTCAATTCTGTTTTTGCTTCATATATTTTTGATGGTCTGTCATGTTTATAAAAGTGTTATGTCTTCTTACTGTGTTGACTCTTTTATTAATACACAATGTCCTTCTTTGTCTTTTTTAACCTTTTTTTTTTTTTTTTATTTAAAGTCTGTTTTATCTGATATTAGCATAGCCGCCCCTGCTCTCTTTTGGTTATGATTTACGTGGAATATCTTTTTTAACTCTTTCACTTTCAATCTGTGTGTGCCTGTGAGTCTAAATTGAGTCTCTCTTGTAGAGAACATATAGTTAGTTCATGTTTTTAAAATCTTTCTGCCAATCTCTGTCTTTTGATTAGAAAATTTAATCTACTTGCAATTAAAGTAATTACTGATAAGGAGGGACTTCTGTCATATTGCTCTTTGTTTCCTGAATGGTGTATAGCTTTTTTTGTCTTTCAGTTCCTGCACTACTGTCTTAAAATTTTTTTTTTGGTAGTAAAATGTTTAAATTTCTCTCTTATTTCCTTTTGTATGTATTCTGTAGCTATTTTCTTTGTAGTTACCATGGAAATTACATTTAACATGCTAAAGTTATAATAGTCTAGTATGAATTTATACTACATTAATTTAAATAACATAAGTCTGCTCCTTTAACAGCTCTGTCATCATCCCTTTTAGTTGTTGATGTCAAAAAATTATGTTTTATACATTGTACTCCAAAACATGCTATTTTTAAGTTTAATATTAATATTTTATTAATAATTTAATTATTATATTAAATAAATTATCCTTTTATGTAAAAAATAAATTATGGAGTTACACCAAAGTTACAATAATACTAGCTTCGAGACTAATATGTTTTCTTAATATATTAGTCTCTTAAATCAGAAAATAAAAAAATGGAGTTATACCATTACAATAATACTAGCTCTTATAATGCCTATTAAATCTTTATTTATTTAGGTTAGAGATGGGGTTTTGCTCTGTCACCCAGGCTGGAGTGTAGTGGCACAATCACAGCTCACTGCCTCCTCAAACTTCTGGACTCAAGCATTCTTCCTGCCTCAGTCTCTCGAGTAGTGGAACTACGGGTATGCACAACCACACCTTGCTAATTTTTAAACATTTTATTGTGCAGACTGGGTCTTGCTATCTTGCTTAGGATGGTCTTGAACTCCTGAGCTCAAGCAATCCTTCTGCCATGATGTCCCAAAGTGTTGGGATTACAGGTGTGGGCCACCACACTCTGCTAAGATCTTTATTTCTTTGTATTGCTTCAAGTTAATGTCTAGTGTCCTTTCATTTAACTCTGCAGGACTTCCTGAAACATTTATTGCGGGGCAGGTATAGTGGTAAAAACCCCCCTCAGCTTTTGTTTATCTGGGAACGCCTTAATTTCTTCATCACTTTTGAAGGACAGTTTTGGCAGATATAGGATTCTTGGCTGACAGTTTTTTTCTTTTAGCACTTTGAATATATTAAGCCACTCTTCTATTTTCAAAAGTTTCTGATGAGAAATCTTCTGGTAATCTTATTGAGGACCCCTTGTATGTGACAAGTCACTTCTCTTCTGTCTTACTGCTTTCAAAATTCTCTCTTCATCTTTGAATTTTGACACATTGGTTATGTGTCTTGGTGTGGCTGTCTTTGAGTTCATCTTACTTGGAGTTTGCTGAGCTTCTTGGATGTCTATATTTATGTCTTTCATCAAATTTGGGAAGTTTTCAGCCATTATTGAAATATTGTCTCTGTCCTTTTGTTTTCTCTCTCTCTCTCTTCCTTCTGGAATTTTTACAATGCATAGTTTGTTCCACTTGATAGTGTCCCAAGGTCCCCTAGGCTCTCTTTTCACTTTTCTTTAATCTTTTTTCTTTCTCTTTCTCAGACTTGCTAATTTCTATCATCCTATCTTCAAGTTTGCTGGTTCTTTCTGTTGCTTGTTCATATGTGCTTTTGGGGGGAACCCGGGCTAAGATAGCTGTGACTTCATATCTCACTGACACTAGGTTAGTACCCAGTTTTGAATAAATATTTGTTCAAAGATGAATATTGAATGAATGAACATTTTTTCAATCAACTGAATTTTCATTTCAGTTATTATAATTTTCAGCTTCAGAATTTTGTTTCTTTTTGTATCTTCTATCTCTTTATTAATATTCCCATTTTGTTCATATGTAATTTTCTTAACTTTCTCCATGTCCTTATTTAGTTCTTTGAGCATATTTAAGACAGTTGTTTAAAGTTTTTCTCTAGTAGATCTGCCACCAGGTCTTTTTCAGAAATGGTTTCTGTTGATTTGTTATTTTTTTCTTTAAATGAGCCATACTTTTCTGTTTTTTTGTATGCTTTGTGAGTTTTTTGAAATATTTGCATTTCATAATATGGTAACTTTTGAAATTAGATTTTCCCTCTTCCTAGGGTTTGCTGTTTTCTCTGATTCTTTATTATTTTGATTGTTGTGCCAAGGATCAGCCTGAGATGTAAACTTAAGGCCTTTCAGCTCTTTTCTGAGCCTGTGACTTTCCCCGGTTATGTGTGGTTACTTGCCAACTTTTCCCATATGTGCAGTTTTTATTTTTATTTTATTTTTATTATACTTTAAGTTCTGGGATACATGTGCAGAATGTGCAGGTTTGTTACGTAGGTATTCACATGCCATGGTGGTTTGCTGCACCCATCAACCCATCATCTACATTAGATATTTCTTCTAATGGTATCCCTCCTCTAGCCCTGCACCCCCCAGCAGGCCCCAGTGTGTGATGTTCCCCTCCCTGTGTCCATGTGTTCTCATTGTTCAACTCCTATTTATGAGTGAGAACATGTAGTGTTTGGTTTTCTGTTCCTGTGTTAGTTTGCTGAGAATGATGGTTTCCAGCTTCATCCATATCCCTGCAAAGGACCTGAACTCATCCTTTTTTTTATAGCTGCATAGAATTCCATGGTGTATATGTGCCACATTTTCTTTATCCATCCTATCATTGATGGACATTTGGGTTGGTTCCAAGTCTTTTATGCAGTTGTTTTGAATGTCCTAGTTTTCAGTGTCTCACTCCCAAAAAAAAGAACAGGAAGTCACAGGCCTTCAATAGACTCTAGAGTTCTAAATAGTTCCACCAGACAAATTCTACCACTGCAGTGTTGTTCAAATGAAGAGACAGACTCCTGGTGCTTCCTACTTCATCATCTTCCCAGAATCTGCTCAGATTATAAGCGTTAATGAAATAAAAAGCAGTTCTCCCAAAGGGATATAATTGAAGAAGTTTATTCATTCAGTATTTATCATTGGGTACCACCCTAAGTGCTGATGAGATATGAAGTCACAACTGTCGTAGCCAGGGTTCACCCCAAGAGCAGAGCCTGACAAGATCTCACTGGTAGGGAGCTTTGGGAAATAAGCAGGAGTGGGATTTGGAAATAATATAGGAAAGTGTTATGAGCTGGTTTACCACTGTGGGCACCTGGAATTCAATTCCATGGGGCCTCTGAGAAGCTGTGTAGGATGCCCCTCAGAACTGCCCCCTTGAGACATGGAAGTGGCGGTATTCAATCTACTGAATAAGGATTGCCCTTGGGAGTGTTAACTCCCTCAACTTCCAAGTTATGCAAGAAGCAGAATGGCTGAGTGTCTCCAAGCAAAGGCAGATTGCCCATAGTAGAAAGCAAGAGACAGTGGTGCAGCTGAGATAATGTGCTGTCAGTTTTCACCTGGTGCTTGCCTTGGCCAAGGCTGGACTAAAAAGTGAGCTAAGAGGCTGTGAGATGAGGACGAAGTAGAGAGTCATAAAACAGCCCGTGTGGTCATGGACCCTATTTAATGAACTCAGACACTAGGCAATTACAAAGAATATAGTGTGATAAGTGATAAGGAAATAGAGAGAGTTTATCAGTTAGAATTGGGATACATGCAACAGAAACCCTACAGTAGAGGCTTAACCCAGTGGTTTAAAAATAAACCTATTTTTCTCATGTAAAAAGAAGTTCAGAGCGAGGAAGTTTGGCACTCAAGGAAGTCATCCAGTACCAGGCTCCATCCAGCTTCCTGCTCTTCCATCCTTAGTGTCTGGCTTTCATCTTCATAGTTGGTCTGATTGTGTTCTAGGCAGGAAGACAGGGAAGACAGGCAGAGGACATGTGCCAGCTGAGTCTGTTTTTATTAGGAAAAGCATAGCTTTCTTGGAAGCCCATCCAACAGGATTCTGCTTACATATCATTGAGTGTAGTAGCTCACGTGGTCACTCCTGGCTTAAGGGAGTCTGGAAGATGAATTATTTTTATTTTTTGAGACAGTGTCTTGCTCCCTTGCCCAGGCTGGAGTGCAGTGACACTACTCTAGGTTGCTGCAACCTCAAACTCTTGGGCTCAAGTGATCCTCCCACCTCAGCCTCCCAAGTTGGGACTAAAAGTATGCACCATCATGCTCAGATAATTTTTTAATTAATTAATTAATTTTTAGAGACAGAGTCTCTAAATATTTAGGGACAGAGTCTCACTCTGTTACCTAGACTGGAGTGCAGTGGCATGATCATAGCTCACTATAACCTCAAACTCCTGAGCTCAAGCAATCCTCCTGCCTGTCCCTTGAGTAGCTGGGACTACAAGTATGTGCCACCACACCCAGCTAATATTTAGATTTTTAAAAGACTAGGTCTTGCTATGTTGCCCAGGCTGTTCTTGAACTCCTGGCCTCAAGTGATCCCCCTGCTTCACCTTTCCAAAGTTCTGGGATTACAGGAATGAGCCACTGCACCCGGCCAAGAGATGAGTATTTTTAACTGGACACATCAGACACTGAACAGAATTGGAGTACTAATAGTAAGAAAGACAGCAGAAAGGATTTTGAGTAGGCAACTTACAGTATCTGCCTCAGAAGTCTAAGTGGTATGGGAGCATCAAGGAGGGGCCCAACACCTGAACTAGGGATAAGAGAGGGAGGTCAGAGAAGGTCCTTGAAGGTAACCCTTAGGTGGATCTTGAAATATGAGCTGTAACTGGCCAGGTAGATAATATGTAAACTTTTGTTGATGTATGGTGGCAGGAGGCAGGAAAGGGAATGGTTGGAAGAACAATCTAGACATTACGTAGAAGGACATGAAAATATGAAAGATTATAGGACCGAAGAAGAATTTTGGAGAGATACAACAGGCTAGAGAATTGAGCACAAATAGGTAGTGGTAAGGTACTACTCTGACAGGTGTTATGGGACCAGACTAGACCAGAGACGGCCTTGTATACCATCATAAGGAATATAGATTTTATCTGGAAGCCTAATAGGAAGTTTTGAAATATTTTAGGCAGGCAGGTAATGTGATAAGATCTACATTAAAAATCAATCTGAAAAATGTTTGGAGAATGGATTGGAAGATATGATGTGGCAATAATCAAGGATTTGCCATAATCTAAGGAAAAATGATGTAGGATTAAACTAACAAGGATAGAGAGAAGAGGACAGACTTGAGAAAAGTTTTGAAGAGAGGTTCGATAGGGCTTGGTGGATAACTGTGTGATATAATTTCTCTAAACCAACAACACTTGAGGGGGAAAAGTAAATTTCCAAGGTAAGATGATAAATGGACATGCTGAAGTGGAGGCTCCTATGGGTCAGTGAAGCGGTGATATCCAGTAGATAGGGGGAATGCTGGAACTGAAACCTTTGTAAGAGATTGGAGCTGGAATTCTAGATTAGAGGTCATTGGCATATGGTGGCAATTGAAGTCCTTGGTATGGACAGGGTCACACAGATGGAGTGAATATAAGAAAGAGGAGCCTGGAGGGCAGTACTACTGGGCACATTAGCATATGGACATAAGAAGATGAGATTAAAAAAGGGATGGGGAAGGGGAGTGAGAGAGATCCAAATGACTCTAGGAGAGAGTGATGCATGGAAAGCCATGGATGAGAGAGAGAGACTCAACATATGGTGTAGTGGTGAATAGTATGAGCTTCAGAGTCAGACAGACCTCATTTCCAGCCCAGGGTCTACCTAATTGTATGACCTATGACAAATGTCCTTATCCTCTCTATGCCTCAGTCTGTTTCCTCATTTTGAAAATGGGGATCATAACAGTACCTACTTCAGCACTGTTTTGATAATTAAATGAGATAATGTATAAAAAGTGCTCAGCACTCTGCTTGGTACACAGTTCTCAAAGAGTGGTAGCTATCACACTAATATGATGAGTGTCTCTTCAAGAGTGGCAGGAGATTCAGACAGATCAGAAGAAGGATGTTGAAAAAAGGCTGGAAAGAATCCATTGGATTGTGATTCAAGAGGTCAATGGGAATCCTTGATGAGTTTCAATGGCATGGTGGGGACAGAGACAGAATGTGGGTAGGATGGGGGAATTTGAGAGGGGTGACTGGATTGCGAACAGGTGGATGATGATGAGTATGTGGAGTTCATTATTTTATTCTCTCTACTTTTGGGATGTTTGAATATTTTTATAATAAAAATAAAGGGCCTAATAATTGTAAAAAATATATATTTTTTCTCCAAAGTGCTCAACACATAATAGAAATAGCAGAAGGCATTGGTGAGTAGGAGGACTTAAGCTTTGCCTGGTGAAAAGAATTTGGCCACAGCCCACGTAGGATGATTTCCAGACTTATGATGCTGCCAAAAGGAAACTCAATTGTTTGTACGTATCAATCAAACTCAGAGTATTATGTATGTATCAATCCCTACACCTGCATGGGCTTTGAAGTCAGACTGCTACATTTAAATCCTGTCTCGACCATTTGCAAACTATGAGATCTTGGGTAACTAACTTATTTAACCACTCTGTGCCTCATTTTCCTTATTTATAAAATAAGGATAATAGTTCCTGCCTCACATGGTTGTTATCAGGAATACATGAGCTAATACACACAAGGTACTTAGAATGGTGTCTTGGTCTGTTTGGGCTGTTATAACAAAATATCATAGACAAGGTAGCTTATAAACAACAGAATTTTATTTTTCACTGTCCTGGAGGCTGGGAAGTCTAAGATCAAGGTGCTGACAGATTTGGTGTCTGGTGAGGACCTACTTCCTGGTTTATAGAATGGCACATTCTTGCTGTGTCCTCATGTGGTAGAAGGGGCAAAGCATCTCTCTAGAGTCTCTTCTTATAATGGGACCAATCCTATTCATGAGGGCTCTGCCTTCACATCCTAACCACTTTCCAAAGGCCCACCTCCAATTACCATCACATTGGTAATTAGGTTGCAATACAAGAATTTTGCAAGGGTGGCCAGGCACGGTGGCTTACGCCTGTAATCTCAGCATTTTTGGGAGGCCCAGGTGGGCGGATCACCTGAGGGCAGGAGTTTGAGACCAGCCTGGCCAACATGGTGAAACCCTGTCTCTACTAAAAATACAAAACTTAGCCAGGTGTGGTGGCACACGCCTGTAGCCCCAGCTACTTGGGAGGTTGAGGCAGGAGAATCTCTTGAACTCAGGAGGCGGAGGTTGCAGTAATCAGAGATCGCGCCCCTGTACTCCAGCCTGGGTGGCAGAGCAAGACTCTGTCTACACACACACACACACAAAAAAAAAAAAAAAAAAAAGAGAATTTTGCCAGGGGCAGACACAAACATTAGGCCATAGCATACAGTGTTGGGAAGATACTTACTAAGTGCTAAAAAATGTTGTATTTCATTGTACTATAATTTTATTTTTCTATCTAATATATGTTTTTCCACTTAAAACAATATTGTATTGAATAATTTTTTTCCCTAAGGAAATATAGAAATTGTGTTGTTTTTCTTACTATTGCCTTTCTTAGGATAGTGGTAAGTATGACAGTGATGTTTCTCATAACACATACGCTCACACACACTTACTATATAAATACATACTATAAGGTGCACACACACACATCCCCAAAACACATTACCCTTCCACTCCTGGCATACATACATGAACACATAAACAACTACTATTGAAGCTGTGAGCCTTGACATTTTTCTGTTCCACTTTTTTTTTCTTTAAAAGACAGGGTATCACTATGTTGCCCAGGCTGGAGTGCAGTGACTATTTACAGGCACGATCATAGAGCATGACAGCTCCAGATTCCTGAGCTCAAGCGATCCTCCAACCTCAGCTTCCTGAGTAGCTGGGACTATAGACATGGCCACAGTGTCTGGTTCTGTTCCGTTCCAAAACTGTCAGAGATTTTCTGGTGGGGGCATAGGAATACGTCAATTTAAGTAGGAGATGGATCTTTTGGAATAGCCCAAGTCCCTGTCTGGGGACTATGCATTCACACAAATACTGAAGAAGCTGGCTTGATGTAGTTAAGTGTGGAAAGGGAGAAACACTTTCCAATTAGTAAATTCATAGAGAGTCTTGGCCTGGGGTTGTGGTTGTCCACTCCCCTACGTACTAAGGGAGGATGGAGCTGAAATTGAGCATCTTTGGTTTTCATCAACAATTTTTATCAAAGGAATGTGTTTATTAAATCATACAATGTCCTAGAATGGTCACAGTAACAACCTGTTTCTCTGGTGTGTCATGATCTCTCCACTTTCTTCACCTTCCAAATCCTATCTCTCCTTTAAAGTCAAGCTGAAGCCTTGAGTTTGAGGGAATAAGTGAAGGTCGCTTTTCCCATGAGAATCATGAGACACGTTGATGTAGGAGTCAGGCGGAAGTAATTCCTTGGAGATATACATCATGTAATTGTGACAACCAATACATGTTAGGGCTGCAGTAACATATTAGCCTTCACTTCTCAGTGGCCTATCCCGTAAAGCTTTCTTTTTCTGTTCCAGCTGCACATCCAGTGTGAGTGGGCAGATGGCAGGCGGGGAATGTGGGGTAGAGTGGTCGTGATGGAGCTCTGCCCAGTCAGTCACTCAGGGATCAGCCTGACAGCAGCTCCACCATCTTGCTCCATCAGTGCAAAAGAGAAACTGGAGAGAGGCTGAGTAATTGCACAGGAGTTTGTCATTGCCTCAGCCCACAAGTGACACAAGTCATTTCTCTCATTTTATTGGCCAGAACCAGTCAGATGTCCCCTTCTAACTGCAAAAGGGCTGGGAGCTGTAATCTTCTGAATGCCCAGTGAGTGAGAAGATAAATCTGTGTATCGATGAGGATGGGCAATGTCTACCAAAGCACATCAGTATTTAAGCCACCAGGGTAGCTGCTCATAGGTGGAAGGGACAATGTGAGTATCATGGCTTTTATTCTTATAGGAGTCACTGAGACTTCTGGGTAATAGTTAAGTACACTTGGCTGTATCTGGCCTTTGGATAATGAGGTAAACTAGAGTTAAAACCCAATTTCATGTCCTGTAGAAGCCCAAAGCCTCAAGTAGATGACTGAGAATAGACTGTGCATGCCAAAGAGACTTACTAGAGCATGCAGCAAGAGAAAATCAGTATCACCTGATCCCTAATGGCTCACAGGAAGAGTTCTGAGCCTAAAACCCAGGACACTGAGGTATCACTTTTTTGGTTAGTAGCTTGTCTTTTACCTTAACATTTGGCTTTAGTTGGCAGACAATAACTGTGAGCAATAATAAATCAATTAGAGTCAGCTGCCCAGCAGTTTAGGTTATAACATTTAAATGTAGGCAAATGCTAATTTATTCATTTATGCCTGTCTAACCGCTAAAGACATGGAAATATACCCTTTCATGTAAATAGAAAATAGCAACCAAAGTGCCCTTGGCAAAGAAGCAGATCCTGCTCCCGTCTACCCCTCACTGAGATATCTTTAAAATAGAACTTGAATTGGCTTTTAATATTTACATAAAACGTTGAAAACATTATTAAAACTGAGCCAGGGATGAAGGAAGTCTGATCAGGGTAGATTGTGTTAGTAGAAAGCATATGAATAATTTTTTTTATGTGCCATTGTTGGCTTGAATGAATAATTTTTTAACGTAATTGAGCCAAGAATTCTAGTGGCGTGAAATCTTCAGGGGCAGTGTCCCCTCTAAGCAGGATTCTCTGATTCTTCTCCTTTGACACATTTCCTGCCCCCTCCCTACCTCTTCTTTTTTGTTTTTAGAGAATAATGGTGAGTACCTCATGCCCTACCCTGTAGAAAACCCTTTAGTGTGATGGCTTGTGGTTTCCTCCTAGAAGATATTACCTGGCCAAACTCCTCAGTGGGCTAACAGATGATGATAACACAGTCATTCATTTTTTTTCCTTTTAAGTTACCTAGAGTCTGAGAAAGTAGTGTCCTCAAGAGAGGATGTCCACGTGGTCCATACAGCATTTACTGCTGCAATGACTGTAAACTCAATTTTTTTCTTTCTTTACTTTTCAGCATGTGAATTTGGAAGCAATCTATTCTAGCTGAAAATCTGAGAAGTTGATTCCATGCCAAAAATTAGCTGTAACCTCAGTTGACTGCATTTTATGTTTTCACCAGAGTGTTTCCTTTCCATGTGGCTGGCAGAAGGAACAAATTTAACTGAGGCTTTACATTTGTGAATAATCAATTTCAACATTCTTGTAGACCTAAAAATGTAACCTTGACAACTGCTTGGGCAGTAGACATCTGGCTGGCAGGATAGACCATGGGTCTAATCAGGCTGGAAACACTGAATAATCAAGAGAGAAGATTAAGCTTCTGATCTGATGGGCAGGGAATTACTCCAACAGCAAGGGAAGTTTGAAGTGGGGACTAATTTTGTTGGTGGCCAGTTCATTAGGGAATTATTTCTAGTTTGAACAACTTTTTCTTCCTGTGTACTTGGGGTCTAGAATGAATATGCTGAAAACGAGAGTTCTAATAGGTCATGATATGTCTGCTCACATTCCATTCCAAAGCAAGTCATCTGGCCATTTCCAAAGTACATGACACCCAAGGAAGTGGTGGGGGAGGGAGTGATTAATTTTGAGCAGTAATCTAAAATAGCATTGAAGACAGCCATGAGGCATGCAGAAGGTGCCTCTCCATCCTCTCTGCAGAGCAGATGGCAAGTAGAAGCAAGTCCTGCAGCGGGTAGTGGGGGTGCAGAATGATGATGGGGAAAGCCCTGTTAGGGGCCCTGAGTGGCCTGGGTGTTTTATTGAGCTGGGTCTCCATATTACATTTTGGCGTCATTTATAGCACTTGGGAGACCCATCATTTTTAGTTCATTTACTATATATGAATATATTAAGGACATTTAATGTAAATAAATACCATTTATTGAGCCTCTACTGTATGCCAAGCATTATGCTAAGTGGTTTTCATGCTTATCTCAACCTTTTTCTGTTTAGGGCCAGATAGTAAATATTTTAGGTTTTGCGGGCCATAAAGTCTCTATTGCAGCTGCTCACCTCTGCTGTTGTAGTGTGAAAGTGGCCACAGACAATGCAAAAATGAATGACTGTAGCTGGGTTTCAATATCATTTTATTTATGGATTCAGATTTGAATTTGTTATAATTTTTATACATCATGAAATACTGTTTTTCTTCTGATTTTTTCCAACCATTAAAAAATGTAAAAACCATTCTCATCTTGTGGGCTGTATAAAAATGAGTGGTGGGTCACATTTGGCTTGTGGTTCCTGGTTTGCTGACCCCTGCTTTGTCTCATTATATTCGCACAATAAGCTTCATTAGGTAGTTATATTATCACACATTATAGATAAGTATTTCAGAGGTTTAGTATTTCTGCTAATCTCTGGCAATCAGATAGTATCCCACCAAGAAATTAGAGTTTTTTGTTGTGCTTAACTAATTATGTGTTCATAATATGTAACAGAACAATACTTCCCAATGTTTTTTGTGCATTTTAAATGTTACCTATTAATATACCACAGAATATATATATTTCTTATTTTCTGTGATTTTGAAAGTGAATTGTTGATTCTTAAATTATTTGATTATGACATATAATAAATAATTTATTTCAGACTTCACCATAAAATTCTGTTTGGTTTAGGCTAAAGTTAAAATATACTGATTTCTCCTGAATACACTTTAAGGAGAGATGAGGTTGGTTCTGAGAGATGGCAAGAGAAACCAATGTGGGGTGAAACTTTACCACTTTACATGCAATTAATTGAAAGAGGGCTAAATGTAGACAAATATGAATGCATGTATGTGCATGCATGTGCACACACACACACACACACACACACAAAACACATGCTCTCAAGGGAAAGGATTGCCCCTGAACTTGGCAAAGCCTAGAAAAATACAAAGAGAGGTTTCCCTCTTTTGCATACTCAGTGTGGTGCATTATTGATATCTCAGTGAGTTGAAATAAAAGAACTAGACTCATAATAATTAATACATATTTCCAGCATATTAAATTTTACACTATAATAAAATTCTTATATAATATAGATTTTTTTGGTTAAATGGGTTTAGATAGAATATGAGCCAAATAATGTTCCTTGAAACACAGTGTCTGCATACAATAAAGATCTGATCCATCACAGATATTACTTTTAGCTCCCAGTGTTCTCCTATATTTAGAAAATTGAAACTTCTTATTTAAATAATAGGCAATTAAAAATTTCAGAATGTATCAATTTGCATATGACCAAGACATTTAGACCAAAAGGGCTATATACAAGGACTAAATAATCTCATGTGCTAATGAACAATAATATATTCACTGTTTGTACATTAAAAAAATGTAAATTACCCCAAATGGCTGTGTTTAATTGCATATCACTATATCAGTGGGTAATTGTGCTTTCTATGAGAAAAAATTGTTCCAAAGTCAAAATGTCACCTTGCTGTCAAATAATCCCACAGATTACTATAAACAGAGCTAAAGAAATTGTGCTGTGACTGAAAAGGTGTGATGTAAATCCTGCTCATTACCCAAGACATGACTTCCATTGTAATTATCTGTCTATCACAATAGCTTCCTCTGCCATCTCCAGCTTACCTGATGCCATACACACAACTCATTAACATTCGGTCCATACACTACCATTGGTACAGTTAACCTCTGAGCACAGTGGGGTCATTACTTCATTATGATGGATTCTGTAATAACACAACAACTTGCATCAAAGATTAATATTTTTCTTTTCTTCATTTATGGTTAAATTAATAATTAGTCTAACACCTGGATTCCATTATATTCTTGTTTTTGTGATCTTGTCAAGAATTCAGTTGGTTTAGAGGAAACTTCAGAACTCTGTTGCCAAAGAAGAGTTACACTCCTCTCTGGCTGACATCTATTTTTAAAAAGAGAAAAAATATTTGGCAACCTGTGTGGTCTGAATATGAAAGACATTGGTAATGTAAAATGAACTGAAGGAACACACAGGCTAGAAAGTCTATTGTGGTTTTTGGAAATAGAGATTAAACTGGATGAAAGTTCTAACAATTTGTTTATTGTGATGAGAAACTTGAGAGTGAGTTAATTCTGGTGGTTTTTAAAAATTTAATATTTTATGGGCCAGGCGTGGTGGCTCACACCTGTAATCCCAATACTTTGGGAGGCTGAGGCGGGCAGATCACCTGAGGTCAGGAGTTTGAGACCAGCCTGGCCAACATGGTGAAACTCTGTCTCTGCTAAAAATACAAAAATTAGCCAGGCTTGGTGGTGGGTGCCTGTAATCCTAGCTACTTTGGAGGCTGAGGCAGGAGACTCGCTTGAACCCGGGAGGCAGAGGTTGCAGTGAGCCAAGATTGCACCACTGCACTCCAGCCTAGGTGACAGATCAAGATTCTATCTCAAAAAAAAAAAAAAAAGGATGTTGAATGGCGAGAGGGTCTTGCCATGTTGCCCAGGTGGGTCCTGAACTCCTAGGTTTAAGCGATCCTCCTGCCTTGGCCTCCCCAAATATTGGGATTACAGGCATAAGCCACCATGTCTGGCCTCATTCTGGCATTTTTAAGCAAAGTATACAGATCTCAAGTTTGAGTTTTATTTTCACAGTTCTTTAGCACAGCATCCGATTCCATTTGGTAAGCTCTTGTAAACAGCTGCATTTAATGTAAAGAAGTGGTTTATTTTCCCTTAAGTAGTTATTTGAATTTTCTAAGTTGGGAATAGAATTATTATAGCAAGCTACTTTTAAGAGGAAAGGGGATTTCACTTTAAAAGTCATCTCTCATTTATGAAGAACAACAAAAGTCAGGGAGAGGCATCATAGGGAAAGCTAATATTTCCAAGAGTCTCTATTAACCTTTGGTGTTTTTTCCTGTAACTCTGGAATATTGTTTAAAATTTCCATTGTCATTAATGGAACATTTGATGAAGCTTTATTTTATGCTACCATAACTGTCTTTGGAATGAAAGTTTGAATTAACTTAGCATGCTAGCAATGTCCACCATGGGCAGGTGAATAAAACCCCTAATGATATCAAAGCAGTGTAATTCCCAGATCCAGGCCATCTTTTAAAATAGATGCTTTTTCTGGGGCAAGTATTTTACTAGGTGTTCTATACAGTAACTTTAAATCCTGCAAAGTGGGTGTTATTATCCCAAGCAAGAGATGAGGAAATTGAAGCTCACAGAGATACAATGATCTATTTAAGGCCACACACCTGGCAAGTGGTGGAGTCAGAACTTAAAATCAAGTCTGTCTGACATAGAGCCAGTGCTTTTTCCATCATGATGTATCTTATTCTGCCATTCTTCATAATGATCAAGTAAAGGTAGACAACAATTATGTGCTTATCTCAGAAAGAAAAAATACCCAAATATCAAGAGGCAAGAATTTAAAGTGAATACAAATCATTTGAATTCATGATTAGATAGAACACCATGCATCCAAACCTATGCAAAACATTCTTTAACGAGGGAACTCTCCAAGGCCTGAAATAGACATTCATGTATAAGTGTAGAATTTTCAGACCAGATAGATATACTTTTCAGAACCTGGAGCTTCACACTTACGCATGGTTTTGGATTTCTTTGGGTGGGAGAGTACCTTGCAATGGAAAGTAGCAACGTTTACAGAAGTATAATATTGCAGTTAATCAATAGTTAACACTTGAATATTGTATTCAAACAAGAACAGATTGTTTGCCAGTTACTAATTTACTGCTTCTCAGGTTTGAATGTACTATTCACTGCTTGCTCTATGAAAATGGAGATGGGCCCTTGAAATTTTTCTGTTTTGCCAGCTGGCATGATGTTAAGCTTTGTGAATAGAGGGTGCTGGAGGAATATTGGAGAAGAATATGTTTTTCTTCCTGATTCCAGTGCCCTTTATTGACAGGCTCCTGCTCTATGCATGGCTTCTGCCTTGCCATTCTGTCAGTGTAGGGCACAGCTTTCTTCAGTACTCAGTTTCTGCAAAGTATGTCTCCTCCAGCATTGCGCTCCTTTAGTGAATGGCTTCTCCGTGCTCAGCTTCTGCAGTTCATGGCAACCAACAGCATTCCAGCATCCAGCATCATCCCATGGTAGTCCCTTGGCAGTTCTGCAACAAGTTCCAAGGCATGACATCTCCCTGTGTATGGCTTTCTCTGGTGCTCCAGATGGTAGATTTCCAGAAAGTTCCACCAGTATGGCACCTGGGCGACTTCTCTCTATCCAGTGAGCTATGGCAGTGCTCTCTCCAACAAGGTCTGGATCTCAGCCCTAGAAGGAGGGGAGTTCTTTCTTGGATACTCTGTCTCAGCCTAGGGGTGGTATTTGTAATATCTGTATTCTTTAGAATTTTCTTTATGTCTTATTAGCTTGTCCATCAGTACTCTAATCCTCTGTTATACACTTTCCCTGTTAAAATTGTTATGTAGTTTCTGTCTCCTGGTTGGACATTGACTGGTATAGTTGAGTAGGTTACATTATTTCTACTTTTTTTTTTTTTTTGGAGACAGAGTCTCTCTGTCACCCAGGCTGGTGTGCAGTAGTGTGATCCTAGCTTACTGCAGCCTTTGAACTCCTGGGCTCAAACAATCCTCCCACCTCAGCCTCCTAAGTAGCTAGGACTATAGGAATGTGCCACCACACCTTTTTATTTTTGTAGAGCTAGGATCTTGCTATGTTGCCCCAGCTGGTCCCCAATTCCTGGCTTCAAGTGATCATCCTGCCTTGGCCTCCTAAAGCTCTGGGATTACAGGCATGAACTACTGCACCCAGCCCATTGCTACTTCTTCATCTGATTTGCCTAAATGCCTTCAGTCTAACAGGATTAAAATGCACTACTGAAAGTTGGCTTTTTAATGTTAAATATTCAATACCTTACCAAGCATATTTTCTACAAAATAACTTATCCAGGCATATTGCTTTCAATCTATATAATATACAAATTCTCTTCTAATGATAAAGTTAATTATTTAATCAGTTAAGATGATTTGGTTGCAAGAAGTAGAAATGGCCTGGCTAACTTAAGCATAAAAAGGAATGTATGGGAAGAAGACAATGCCTGGCTATTGCAGAAATCTTTGGTCGTCTAGAAAGAGTAGAGATAGGCTTTGAGAGCTAGAGGGAAGAGAATATCTTAGTTTGACAGGTTTTGGAATAGAAAGATGATTCAAGACAAGGATAAATTTTTGGGTGTGACATTAATTCTCTGCAGCATAGGTTTCCCATGTCACTTAGAGAAAAAGCCAAAGGCTTCACAGTGGCCTACAAGGCCTCATGTGACTAGGCTCAATGCCTTGCACTTACTGGAATACCTTCTTCCTGGAATACTTTCCTTCAGATATTTGCCTGACTTACTCCCTCTCTTCCTACAAGTCTTTGCTCCACTGTCATCTCAGTAAGATCTTTCCTGCCACTCTCTTTAGATTCACAGCCCTGACCTGGTACTCCCTATCAGTCTTCCCTTATTTGCTTTTCTCTGTAGCAATTATCACCTTCTAAGATATTACATAACCTACTTATTTTGTCTTTTGTTTGTCTCCCTCTAATTAATATGTAAGTTCCGCAAGGCAGGGCTTTAAAAACATTTTTTTTTCAGTGATGCATCCTTATTATTTAGAACAGTGTCTAAATATTTGTGGATAAATAAATGAATGAACTTCCTGTATTATTAGGCTGAATATGATTCACATGTACATACTTTATAATTTTTACTCATATTTTTTGGGTGTGTATGTATATGTGTCTTCAATTATATAACCAGAACTAAAGAGGTAACAGGCTTTGTGTTATGAACGACTTTCTTGGTGGCCTTATTCAACTTCTTGAATGAGGGATTCCCACAATTGGCTTGCTTTTAAGTGGTATTTTGCCCATATTTTAAAAATTAATTATTGCAGTGAACATTTGCTATTCTTGCCTCCTACCAGCTATCCTTCTTCTTAACAGCACCCTAGTTTTGCTTTGGTGGGGCTATCAATCAGTGATCTGATGACTGGAAGGCATTTACATTCTTGAGAAGAGTGATATAAACACCCAAAATGGCGGGCATTTTCCTTCGTAATCTCTGCAGTACTCCCTGAAGTTACATGCATCAGGTTACCCTTCTGCTTTTGCCTGGGGTTGCCTTAGTTCCTGCCCTTTCTGAGTGTGTTTATTCCCCATTCAATTCCATTTTGTGAGTTATCCCATCTTTCCCCCATACATTTCTTTTTCTGCATAAGTTAGCCAGGCCATTTCTATTTCTTGCAACCAAATTATCTTAACTAATAAAATAATTCACTTTATTATGGGAGGAGAATTTGTATGCTATTATATATAATGAGTACAATATGCCTGGATTAGTTACTTTATAAAAATATGCTTTTTAAAATACTGAATATTTGACATAAAAAAATCCAACTTTCAGTAGTGCATTTACATCCTGATAGACTAAAGGCATTTAGGCAAATCAGATCAAGAAATGCAAATGATGTAACCTCTGCTGATGTTGTATTAGACACAATATATGAAGTTCTGGGTGCCTTCTCTAGATTTATTGTCACCATCAGTAGTTTTAGAATGAATAGTTGATACATTTAGACACAGGTAAAGAAGGGCTCAGTAATACAGAGATGAGGGAATCTGAAGTCAATTTATGTGACAAAAAAGCATGTTACTTACTGTTTTGCTATCCAGAGAGCATCTTCATTCTATGAAGAATAAATTTTACAGATTAATGGAGAAGTGCTCCACAAGCCTCATTTCTTTTTTTTTTTTTTAATTTTACTAGGGTAGTTCTAGGGAACATGTGCACAACATGCAGGTCTATTACATAGGTATACATGTGCCATGCTGGTTTGCTGCACCCATCAACTCATCATTTACATTAGGTATTTCTCCTAACGCTATCCCTCCCCAAGACCCCCACCCCCAATAGGCCCCAGTGTGTGATGTTCCCCTCCCTTTGTCCATGTGTTCTCATTGTTCACCTCCCACTTATGAGTGAGAACATGCAGTGTTTGGTTTTCTGTCCTTGTGATATTTTGCTGAGAATGATGGTTTCCAGCTTCATCCATGTCCCTGTGAAGGACATGAACTCATCCTTTTTTATGACTGCATAGTATTCCATGGTGTTTATGTGCCACATTTTCTTTATCCAGTCTGTTATTGATGGACATTTGGGTTGGTTCCAAGTCTTTGCTATTGCGAATAGTGCCACAACAAACATAGGTGTGCATGTGTCTTTATAGTAGAATGATTTATAATCCTTTGGGTATATACACAGTAATGGGATTGCTGGGTAAAATGGTATTTCTAATACTAGATCCTTGAGGAATCGCCACACTGTCTTCCACAATGGTTGAACTAATTTACACTCCCACCAACAGGTAAGAGTTCCTATTTCTCCACATCCTCTCCAGCATCTGTTTTTTCCTGACTTTTTAATGATCACCATTCTAACTGGCATGAGATGGTATCTCATTGTGGTCTTGATTTTCCTTTCTCTGATGACCATTGATGATGAGCATTTTTTCATATGTCTGCTGGCTGCATAAATGTCTTCTTTTGAGAAGTGTCTGTTCACATCCTTTGCCCACTTTTTGATGGGGTTGTTTGTTTTTTTTCTTGTAAATTTGTTTAAGTTCTTTGTAGATTCTGGATATTAGCCCTTTGTCAGATGGGTAGATTGCAAAAATTTTGTCCCATTCTGTAGGTTGCCTGTTCACTCTGATGATAGTTTCTTTTGCTGTGCAGAAGCTCTTTAGTTTAATTGGATCCCATTTGTCTATTTTGGCTTTTGTTGCCATTGCTTTTGGTGTTTTAGACATGAAGGCTTTGCCCATGCCTATGTCCTGAATGGTATTGCCTAGGTTTTCTTCTAGGGTTTTTATGATTTCAGGTCTTACATTTAAGTCTTTAATCCATCTTGAGTTAATTTTTGTGTAAGGTGTAAGGAAGGGATCGAGTTTCAGCTTTCTACATATGGCTAGACAATTTTCCCAGCACCATTTATTAAATAGGGAATCCTTTCCCCATTTCTTGTTTTTGTCAGGTTTGTCAAAGGTCAGATGGTTGTAGATGTGTAGTGTTATTTCTGAGGCCTCTGTTCTGTTCCATTGCTCTATTTATCTGTTTTGGTACCAGTACCATGCTGTTTTGGTTACTGTAGCCTTGTAATATAGTTTGAAGTCAGGTAGCGTGATGCCTCCAGCTTTGTTCTTTTGGCTTAGGGTTGTCTTGGCAATGTGGGCTCTTTTTTGGTCCCATATGAAATTTAAAGTAGTTTTTTCTAATCGTGTGAAGAAAGTCCATGATAGCTTGATGGGGATAGCATTGAATCTCTAAATTACCATGGACAGTATGGCCATTTTCATGATATTGATTCTTCCTACCCATGAGCAGGGAATGTTCTTCCATTTGTTTGTATCCTCTTTATTTCATTGAGCAGTGGTTTCTAGTTCCCTTGAAGAGGTCCTTCACATCCCTTGTAAGTTAGATTCCTAGGTATTTTATTCTCTTGTAGTAATTGCAAATGGGAGTTCACTCATGATTTGGCTGTTTGTCTATTAATGGTGTATAGGAATGCTTGTGATTTTTGCACATTGACTTTGTATCCTGAGACTTTGCTAAAGTTGCTTATCAGCTTAAGGAGATTTTGGGCTGAGACAATGGGTTTTTCTAAATATAGAATCATGTCATCTGCAGAGACAATTTGACTTCCTCTTTTCCTAATTGAATACACTTTATTTCTTTCTCTTGCCTGATTGCTCTGGCCAGAATTCCAATACTATGTTGAATAGCAGTGGTGAGAGAGGGCGTCCTTGTCTTGTGCCGGTTTTCAAAGGGAATGCTTTCAGTTTTGCCCATTGAGTATGATATTTGATGTGGGTTTGTTGTAAATAGCTATTATTTTGAGATACATTCCATCAATACCTAGTTTATTGAGAGTTTCTAGCATGAAAGGCTGTTGAATTTTGTTGTTGAAGGACTTTTCTGCATCTATTGAGATAATCATGTGGTTTTTGTCATTGGTTCTGTTTATGTGATGGATTATGTTTATTGATTTCCATGTGTTGAACCAGCCTTGCATGCCAGGGATAAGCCAAGTTGATCGTGGTGGATAAGCTTTTTGATGTGCTGCTGGATTTGGTTTGCCAGTATTTTACTGAGGATTTTCACTTTGATGTTCATCAGGAATATTGGCCTAAAATTCTCTTTTTGTTGTGTCTCTGCCAGACTCTGGGATCAGGATGATGCTGGCTTCCTAAAATGAGTTAGGGAGAATTCCCTCTTTTTCTGTTGATTGGAATAGTTTCAGAAGGAGTGGTATCAGCTCCTCATTGTACCTCTGGTAGAATTCGGCTGTGGATCCATCTGGTCCTGGACTTTTTTTGTTGGTAGGCTATTCATTATTGCCTCAATTTCAGAACCTGCTATTGGTCTATTCAGAGATTCAGCTTCTTCCTGGTTTAGTCTTGGGAGGGTGTATGTGTCCAGGAATTTATCCATTTCTTCTAGATTATCTAGTTTGTTTGCATAGAGGTGTTTATAGTATTCTCTGATGGTAGTTTGTATTTCTGTGGGATCAGTGGTGATACCCACTTTATCATTTTTTATTGCATCTATTTGATTCTTATCTCTTTTCTTCTTTATTAGTCTTGCTAGTGGTCTGTCTATGTTGATCTTTTCAAAAAACCAGCTCCTGGATTCATTGATTTTTTGAAGGGTTTTTTGTGTCTCTATCTTCTTCAGTTCTGCTCTGATCTTAGTTATTTCTTGTCTTCTGCTAGCTTTTGAATGTGTTTGCTCTTGCTTCTCTAGTTCTTTTAATTGTGATGTTAGGGTGTTGATTTTAGATCTTTCCTGCTTTCTCTTGTGGGCATTTAGTGCTATAAATTTCCCTCTATGCACTGCTTTAAATGCGTCCCAGAGATTCTGATATGTTGTGTCTTTGTTCTCATTGGTTTCAAAGAACATCTTTATTTCTGCCTTCATTTCATTATTTACCCAGTAGTCATTCAGGAGCAGATTGTTCAGTTTCCATGCAGTTGTGTGGTTTTGAGTGAGTTTCTCAATCCTGAGTTCTAATTTGATTGCACTGAAGTCTGAGAGAGACAGTTTGTTGTGATTTCTGTTCTTTTACATTTGCCGAGGAGTGTTTTACTTCCAATTATGTGGTCAATTTTGTAATAAGTGCAATGTGGTGCTGAGAAGAATCTATATTCTGTTGATTTAGGGTGGAGAGTTCTGTAGATGTCTATTAGGTCCGCTTGGTCCAGAGCTGAGTTCAATTTCCGGATATCCTTGTTAATTTCCTGTCTCACTGATCTGTCTAATGTTGACAGTGGGGTGTTAAAGTCTCCCATTATTATTGTGTGGGAGCCTAAGTCTCTTTGCAGGTCTCTAAGAACTTGCTTTATGAATCTGGGTGCTCCTGTATTGGGTGCATATATGTTTAGGATAGTTAGTTCTTCTTGTTGAATTGATCCCTTTACCATTATGTAATGGCCTTCTTTGTTTCTTTTGATCTTTGCTGGTTTAAAGTCAGTTTTATCAGAGACCAGGATTGCAACCCCTGCTTTTTTGTGTTTTCCATGTGCTTGGTAGATCTTCCTCCATCCCTTCATTTTGAGCCTGTGTGTGTCTTTGCTTGTGAGATGGGTCTCCTGAATACAGCACACGGATTGGTCTTGACTCTATCCAATTTGCCAGTCTGTGTCTTTTAATTAGGGCATTTAACCCATTTTCATTTAAGGTTAATTATTGTTATGTGTGAATTTGATCCTGTCATTATGATGTTAGCTGGTTATTTTGCCCATTAGTTGATGCAGTTTCTTCCTAGCATCGATGGTCTTTACAATTTTATATGTTTTTGCAGTGGCTGGTCCCGGTTGTTCCTTTCCATGTTTGTGCCTCCTTCAGGAGCTCTTGTAAGGCAGGCCTGGTGGTGACAAAATCTCTCAGCATTTGCTTGTCTGTAAAGGATTTTATTTCTCCTTCACTTATGAAGCTTAGTTTGGCTGGATATGAAATTCTGGGTTGAAAATTCTTTCCTTTAAGAATGTTGAATATTGACCCCCTCTCTCTTCTGGCTTATAGGGTTTCTGCCAAGAGATCTGCTGTTAGTCTGATGGGCTTCCCTTTGTGGGTAACCCGACATTTCTCTCTGGCTGCCTTTAACATTTTTTCCTGCATTTCAACCTTGGTGAATCTGACAATTATGTATCTTGGGGTTGCTCTTCTTGAGGAGTATCTTTGTGGTGTTCTCTGTATTTCCTGAATTTGAATGTTGGCCTGCCTTGCTAGGTTGGGGAAGTTCTCTTGGATGATATCCTGAAGAGTGTGTTCTAACTTGGTTCCATTCTCTCTGTCACTTTCAGGTACACCAATCAAAAGTAGATTTGGTCTTTTCACATAGTCCCAAATTTCTTGGAGGCTTTGTTCATTTCTTTTCACTCTTTTTTCTCTAATCTTGTCTTCTTGCTTTATTTCATTAATTTGATCTTCAATCACTGATATCCTTTCTTCCGCTTGATCAAATTGTCATTGAAGCTTGTGTATGCTTCACAAAATTCTTGTACTGTGGTTTTCAGCTCCATCAGGTCATTTAAGCTCTTCTCTACACTGGTTATTCTAGTTAGCCATTCATCTAACATTTTTTCAAGGTTTTTAGCTTCCTTGCAATGGGTTAGAACATGCTCCTTTAGCTCGGAGAAGTTTGTTATTACCGACCTTCTGAAGCCTACTTCTGTCAACTCATCAAACTCATTCTCCATCCAGTTTTGTTTTCTTGCTGGCGAGGAGTTGTGTTCCTTTCGAGGAGAAGAGACGTTCTGGTTTTTGGAATTTTCAGCCTTTCTGCTGTGGTTTCTCCCTATCTTTGTGGTTTTATCTACCTTTGGTCTTTGATGTTGGTGACCTACGGATGGGGTTTTTGTGTGGATGTCCCTTTTGTTGATGTTTATGCTATTTCTGTATTTTAGTTTTTCTTCTAACAGACAAGCCTCTCAGTTGCAGGTCTGTTGGAGTTTGCTGGAGGTCCACTCCAGATCCTGTTTGCCTGGGTATCACCAGCAGAGTCTGCAGGACCGCAAATATTGCTGCCTCATCCTTCCTCTGGAAGCTTCGTCCCAGAGGGGCATCCACGTGTATGAGGTGTCTGTTGGATCCTACTGGGAGGTGTCTCCTGGTCAGGCTACACAGGGGTCAGGGACCCACTTGAGGAGGCAGTCTGTCCATTATCAGAGCTTGAATGCCATGCTGGGAGAACCACTCCTCTCTTCAGAGCTGTGAGGCAGGGACGTTTAAGTTGGAGAAGCTCTCTGCTGTCTTTTGTTCAGATATGCCCTGCCCCCAGAGATGGAATCTAGAGAGGCAGTAGGCCTTGCTGAGCTGCGATGTGCTCTGCCCAGTTCAAGCTTCCTTGCCACTTTGTTTACACTGTGAACATAGAACTGCCTATTCAAGCCTCAGCAATGGTGGACACTCCTCCCCTCACGAAGCTCCAGGGTCCCAGGTTGATCTCAGACTGCTGTGCTAGCAGTGAGCAAGGCTCTGTGGGCATGGGACCCACTGAGTCAGGCACAAGAGGGAATCTCCTGGTCTGCCAGTTGTGAAGACTGTGGGAAAAGTGCAGTATTTGGGCAGAAGTGTACTGTTCCCCCAGTTACAGAAACTCACGGCTTCCCTTGGCTAGGAAAGGGAAATCCCCCAACCCCTTGTGCTTCATGGGTGGGGTGATGCCCCATCCTTCCTTGGCATGCCCTTTGTGGGCTGCACCCCCTGTCCAACCAGTCCCAATGAGATTAACCAGGTACCTCAGTTGGAAATGCAGAAATCACCCATCTTCTGCGTCAATCTCACTGGGAGCTGTAGACTGGAGCTGTTCCTATGTGGCCATCTTGGAAGCCCATAATATCATAATTATAAATGGTGTAAATCATTGTAAAAATGTAATAAAATCTTGAAAAGGATATTTGATACCTATAGAAAATAGGGTATTCCAAAGGATTATGAATCATGCTGCTATAAAGACACATGCATATGTGTGTTTATTGCAGCACTATTCACAATAGCAAAGACTTGGAACCAACCCAAATGTCCATCAATGATAGACTGGATTAAGAAAATGTGGCACATATACACCACGGAATACTATGCAGCCATAAAAAAGGATGAGTTTGTGTCCTTTGTAGGGACATGGATGAAGCTGGAAACCATCATTCTCAGCAAACTGTCGCAAGGACAGAAAACCAAACACTGCATGTTCTCACTTACAGGTGGGAATTGAACAATGATAACACTTGGACACAGGGTGGGGAACATCACACACTGGGGCCTGTCCTGGGGTGGAGGGAGGGGGGAGGGATAGCATTAGGAGATATACCTAATGTAAATGATGAGTTAACTGGTGCAGCACACCAACATGGCACATGTATGCATATGTAACAAACCTGCACATTGTGCACATGTACCCTAGAACCTAAAGTATAAAAAAGAAAAAAGAATCAGAACACACACACACACACACACACACACAAGAAAATCGGGTATTGGGAAAATGTATTCTCAATAATAGCATTGTTTCCAGACCAAATGATTTTTTTTCCTGAAAAATTAATAAAGATGTTCAACCAATGGTACATACAAAATAAACTTTTGGTGGGTAAGCTTCTGTCTTACTACTACTAATAATGATTTTTTGAAAAGCCCAAGACTATACAAAAATGTGTATGCTAGTCATTTGTTTAGAGTTAGGTAATAGACCTAATAAGCATTTCAAAAGAGGTTGTTTTCATTTGCATTTTAAAATGTGTGTGCTATAGGAATGTATCATACTCCAATGAAAACAATTGATATTGCCTGAAAGACACTGCTTATTGGTGTGGCCACTTTGGGAATCAGATTTAAAAAACTCAACTTTTTACTATATAAGAATTTCAAACATATAGGAGAGTATACAGAGAGAGAGAATAATGTTAGTGTCCATTAAAATAACCTGGAAGGCTCATAAAAACAGATTGCTGAGATTTATTCCCAGAGTTTCTGTCAAGAGATATGAAGTGGGGCTTGCAATTTGCATTTATAACAAGTTTCCAGGTGATGCTGATGCTGCTGGTCCAGGAGCCACATTTTGAGAACCACAATTATAATGAATTCCTGTTTCCATCCTCAGCTAATAATCAACACATGACCAACTTGGTTTCATTCATACTCTCCACTCACGTTCCCCTCCTTTCCAATGTAAGGTTTAGGAGCAAATTCCACACATTTTATACTTTCATCTATAGGCTCTTCTGAATGTATCTCTGAAACAGAGATTGGCAGAATTCATGGAATCGCCTGTTTTTGTAAATAATGTTTTATTGGAACACAGCCACACCTATTTGTTTATGTGTTTATGGCTGCTTTCAGGCTATAAAGATATAGTTGAGTAGTTGCAACAGGGACTGTAGACACACTGCCTTTTCATGCTAAAATCCGTTTTCATGCTGCTGATAAAGACATACCTGAGACTGGGCAATCTACAAAAGAAAGAGGTTTATTGAACTTACAGTTCCACATGGCTGGGGAGGCCTCATAATTGTGGTGAAAGGTGAAAGATGAAAGGCACATCTTACATGGTGGCAGACAAGAGAAGAGAGCTTGTGCAGGGAAACTCCTCTTTTTAAAACCATCAGATCTCGTGAAACTTATTCACTATCATGAGAACAGCATGGGGAAGACCTGCCCCCCCATGATTCAATTACCTCCCACTGGGTCCCTCCCACAGCACGTGGAAATTCAAGATGAGATTTGGGTGGGGACACAGCCAAACCATATCAACACAAAGCCTAAAACATTTGCTATCTGGCCTTTTTCAGGTATTTGTCAAGTACCTGCTCTGTGCCAGGCATGTATACATAAGAACAATTCTAGTTCTGCTGCTACTGCTGCCTGCCTTGACAAGGAGCCTCATCATTGTCCTCTGGTTGTTACCCTCCTTCAAAGTGCTAGTTTATGTGCTGAGGCTGCTATCTGTCATTGCTTGCAAACCTAGCAGTCCTGGTTTTGTCAGGTTTTGGACAGCAGTGGGAAGATTTCTCCTATCTTGGTTGCTGTCATTTATCATGTGGGTTCTGGTAGAGTACCATTTGGTAACCTGAGTCTCACTAAGTCTTTCAGGAAAACAAGCTTCTTCACCTTTTGACTTCCTAATTTTTTCTACTGGGGCTTAAAGCACATAATCCATTGTTCTTGTCTCCTCTTTTCTTTCCAAACACCCACACACCAAACCCCTTATTCTTTAGCAAATTAAACCAAATCACAACTGCAAACAAATCAAACAAAGCAACCTTTCCATCCATCCTTATGTCAATTTATAAAAATAAGTTTCTGGAGGGGTCACTAGCTTGTCAATTTCACAGTAAGATCATTGCTTCCCAAACTTTAATGAGCAGATTTACTACCTGAAAGTATCTCGTTAAAATTATCAAAAGACAAAATTACAACTAATTAAGTTTAAAGATCTAATTTGCTTTATTAGCGATTCATGAATCAGGCAGTGTCTCATCTATAAAAATAGATAGGCGCTCCGATGAACTGAGCAGATGAGATTGGCTTTATAGGCAAGAAAATACTGAAGAAAGCAGAAACGGAACAAAAAGCAAATTGGTCATTTAAAAGTTACTTTCCTTATACGGTTAATATAGAGGTTACTTCCTTATCATGCTGGCTTAGGTAACTGGGCCCCTTCTGATTGGTTGCTGTGAATTTCCTGGTTTTGGAAAACTGGTCGGTTTCAAAGTCCAGTTTAATTACATGGCACCTAGCATAAGTGACTCCATTCTGGTTTGGGCTGGTCTATTGGGCCTAGTGCAGGAGCTCAGTCCAAAACAATGGCCTTCCATGAATTTCACTGAATGAAATGCAGATCCTGATTCAGCAGGACTGGGATGGAGCTGATACTCTGCCTTCTTAACAAGCTCCCAGGTTATGCTGCTGTTGCTGGTCTAAGGACTACATCTTGGGAGTAGCGAGGAGCTAGACTTTGCATTCCAGTTGTGGCTCAGCTGAGACACTCTACTAAACAACCAACATACATGGAAATTTATAGCAAATTGTATATTTTGGGTCACATTTGGGTTTTGATACAAAACCCAAATTCCCCAGTAAGAAGCCATCACAAGATGTGACTGTGCTGTCCAGGGGCTGCTGATCTTCATCTGTTGATTTGCTCTGGGAGGTTTCTTTCTGCAAACAAGATCCTAATCTACAGTCTCTGTTTATGAACTTTCTCCATGTTCCCAGTCAGCTGTTCTCAGTCCTGGCTGTGTATCAAAGTCCCTGCTGGAGTTCTTAAAAAAATGCAGCATCTCTAGGGGTGGGATCCAGGCATTTCTATTTCTATTCAGATGATTCTAATGTGCAGCCAGAGTTGAGAATCAATTTTTTTTTGTTGTTGTTGTTTGTTTTTGAGATGGAGTTTTGCTCTTGTTGCCCAGGCTGGGGTACAATGGTGCCATCTCAGCTCACTGCAACCTCTGCCTCCCAGGTTCAAGCAATTCTCCTGCCTCAGCCTCCCGAGTGGCTGGGATTACAGGAGCCCACCACCATGCCCGGCTAATTTTTTGCATTTTTAGTAGAGATGGGGTTTCACCATGTTGGCTGGGCTGGTCTTGAACTCCTGACCTCAGGGGATCCACCCGCCTTGGCCTGCCAAAGTGCTGAGATTACAGGCATGAGTCATAGCACCCGGCCAGAATCAATGTTTTAAATATGAAGTTTTTCGTTTCAGTGTTGCTAAGGTGATTTGCTCCCTCAAAAATGGCCCTACAAAAAGCCCACTGTTAATCCTTGTGAACTTGGGAACCCTACTCCATTTGTGCAGCACCATGGTTCTGCTTTTTTCCGGTGCTGAGCTCATTGAGGACACGGATTCTGCTCTCTTTTTATACCTACTGCTCAAATGGAAAGATGATTTTATTTCACCGTCTTTCACAAGATGAACAACTTCTCTATTGTGGTGCAAGTTGGAAACAGGGTCTTCCCATTAGGCAGAAACATGGAGACCCAGAAATGTCCTGAGCTGTTAAAAGGCTGGTTGGGTATTCTCAAAAGGTTTGTGTTGGGTGTTTTTCCTGATATTAACAGTGGACAGAGTTTTTAGGCCTGTCAAAACAGAGGCAGCAAAGTCTGTTGCAGACTTCAGCCAGGAGGAGGAAAACAGGAATGGAAAGGCCAGTTGCTGTTTAGGATTTAAAAAGCTTTAAAAGTTTGCCAACTGAGAAATGAGTTGTGCTGTTGCCCAATTATCCATCTACCTTCTCTGGTCCACTGGCTCCCTGGTATTTGTGCATTGAGAGAAATAAATGATCCTAGGGCAGAGATTTGAAAACCAACCTTTAGAACTGTTTGCCAGATTCTAACATTAAATAGGCTGAAGTTCAGCCCTTTTCAGTTACTGGAAGCATCCCTTTGTGTACTGAGCACTGGGTTTAAATGCTTTTTTTAAAAAAGTGAAATACGTACATTCCGGCTCTATCCCTTTCTTTCCTACACCAAACAAACCAACAAAATATATGTATATGTGTGTCTCTATATATATTTTTACATATCTATATATACATATACACATATACATATACATATATACATATACATATATACATACATACATATATACATATATACATATATATACACACACATATATATATGTGTATATATATGTTTTTTCCAAACCTTTCCCTCACCAGGAAAAAAAGAAAAACCCTATTAAAAAAAAAAAAGGATAAGAGACTGACTCTGACATCCTGCTTAATTTAAACTGTGCTTGTAAAGGTAGGTCTCTGAAAAGAACAAGTGTTAAAGTCATTTCGGGTTTGAACCATATGATTTGAACCAGTGGTTAATGGCTTCTCCATTCCTGAAGTGGCATTGTGAAGTAAAAGGTGAGGTATAAATCACCGTCAACCTGGACATGCCCATTCACTGAGGGAAAGCATTGCTGTACAGTCAGGGCTGAGAGGAGCAGAGTGTGTGGAAGAGTACAGTTAAGCAGAATTGAAGTGAATCCAATGATTAAACGCTGGAGGCAGGGCTGTTTAGACCTGTGAGAAAACTGCTTCAGAATCAAGAAGAATCTTAGCTTCTATTAAATAAATGGGGCCCAGCCTTGGGAGTTAGGCCATGTTCCAGTCACACCTGACTCAGAGGTTTCATTATCCAGAACGTTACAGTATTTTCCTAGTTTTCTGTGAGAATATACCTGGCCAAACAACTCATATAACAAAATGGGAAGGAGAGTGAGTTCCTTTGTGGGGAAGTGACATGCCCCTTGACATTCTCTCTCCCCACAGAATTTCCTTGTGCAGCTGCCTGCCATTTGCAGTCTTAGAAATGCCAAGTTAAGGGATGTGGGGGTGGGATGGGGGATGGAACATGTAGGAGAAGGCTGGAGGAGATCAAAACTTGCATAAGAAACTGACTTTGCTCTACTAAGGGAAAGAGAAGGGACTGAGCATTTATTGAGCATCTGTTATATTTTTGGTGCTTTATAAGTTATTGTATTAATCCTTATATAACCATCTGAAGTTGATGTTAAGGAACATTAAACAGCAATTTTAATATAAGACTTTTCATATTTTAATATGAAACTTAAATTGAAAGTGAATGTGGCAGATGGGACATTTTGTTTTTTCTCTTTCCCATTTTCACCTAAGGATGTCAAAACAGAATGGCTTTGCATGGCTGCGAATGTCCAAGTATTTGCAGAATGGCTATTCATTTTATCTTCCCAATGCTCCAAGGAATTTTTTTAGCAATTCCTTCTCATTTCCTAACAAACACCTTCTCTTCCCTCTTCCTTCATTTTCCTGATAGGAACCAGCTTCACTAATATGGACAATGAAGGTCTAGTAACTGCTTTCCCCAAAGAACAATGGAAGACCTAAATCAAATTTTAAATCATGGACTATCAAAGGAGATAAAATCTCTGGGCAAGACAGCCCCAGAAACCTTTTCTTCCCATTTGTTATATGGGTTGTTGGACCAGGTATTTTCTCACAGAAGACTAGGAAAATATTGTAACATTCTGGATGACATACTCTCTGAGTCAGGTGTGTCTGGAACATAGCCTGACTCCCAAGGCTGGGCCGCATTCATTTAATAAAATCTAAGATACTTCTTGACCAAACATTTTTGTCTTTTTTAAACCTCCAGACTCTGACAACTAAAAGGAAAGCCTAGACTCCTGGAGCTTTAAATATTATTATTTTACCAATGCAGAATCTGAGGCTCAGGAAGGTTATGTAAAGTGGCCAAGTGAACATCATTGGTGAGAGATGGAGTTGGAGCCGGAGCCCAGACGTGTCTGACTGTAAGGTCTGTGCCCCTTTACATCACACCTCATGTTGTAAGATCATTTTAAGGTGAGGCTACTTGAAGTCGGGGTTTGGGCTAATTTAGGCTTCTAAGTCTTTTTTACTTTATTCTCCAGAAAATATTAAGACCCATCAGGTATTTTAGAGAAAAATCAAGATGTTCTACTTGACATGCTTCTTGTGCTTTGTTATTCTGCTAGTCCGATTCTGTTGAAGAGCGTATCTAAACCTACCCACACCCACAAATAAGCCCCCATACACAAAACCAAACTTACACACAAATATTATATCCACAAACACTATTTGAACTCATTAAGCACAAACCTAATAAAACCCAGGTGACTTCAGGCAACAGCTTTTCCTTAGTAATTACCCTTGTAATTAGTAGTTACACTTGATACCCGATAACATGTGCAATCAAACCTGTATCAGTTATATACTGCTGCCTAACAAATTATCTAAAAAACCTAAAGGTTTAAAACAGGGATCAAAATGTATCCTTTGTAGTTTCTGTTGATCAGGAATTTGAGAGTGCGTGATGGCTTTGGGATGTGTCAACTTGGTGAGGTTGAACAATATTCCTCAGAATTCCCTTTCTAGTGTGTTTCCAGATAGAGTGAGCTGCTAGAGACATTGTCTCTTGAGAGTGGGAGGATAGAAAAGCAGCAGCAGCCGTATTGTAGTGTGCACACACACACACACACACACACACACACACCCCTTCTCCCAGTCATTCAGTCAAACACAAATCTAGGTGCTGCTGTGAAGGGATTTTGCAGATGTAATTGAAGTCCCTAATCAGTTGACTTTAAATTGGGTGGGCCTGACTTAAACAATTGGAAGCGCTTAAAAGAGGGCTTAAGACTTTTCTGAAGCTGGGAGAGAGGGGAGAAAGGGAGAGAGAGGAGATTTCCATTTGTAGATAACAGCTTTGGCCTGTGCCCATGTAGTTCCAGCTTGCTTGTTTGTGATCTTCCCTTGTTGTTGGCCTGTGGACAACAGCTGGGGTTCCAAGCCAGCTTGCTGGTGAGCTTCTCTTTCTGAAGGCCGCTCTATGGACTTCAGACTTGCCAAGCTGGCCCCCACCCACAATTTCACAAGCGAATTTCTTGTAATAAATTCATATATTGCCAACTGGTTCTGCTTCTCTTTCTGAACCAAAATTATAATACAGAGCAGCTTAGCTAGGCTATTATGGTTTGGAGTTTCTCATGAGGGTGTAGTCAAGATGTTGGCCAGTGTTGTAGTCATCAAGGCTTGACTGAGACTGAAAGATCTGTTTCCAAGATGACTCATTCATATAGCTGGCAAGCTGGTGCTAGCTATTTTCAGGAAGCCTTAGTTCCATGCCACTCAAACCTCTCCATAGACCTACTTGAATATTATCATGGCATGGCTGCTGGCTTCCTTTACGGTGAGTAATCCAAGAGAGCAAAAAAGCAGAAGCAGAATTGTCTTTGCTCATCTAGCATTGGCAGTCACACACCATCACTTCCACTGGTTTCTTTTGGTCACCCAGAGCAAGCCTGAAATGATATGGAAGGTGACTATACAAATGCATAAGTACCAGAAGGCAAGGATCAATAGCAGTCATCTTGGAGGCTGGCTACCACAAAACCTTTCTCATTTCAATTCATTATTTTGGTGCCATGTAGACACGGCTATAGTGTAATGGCTAAACATATTTTATGATTAAAAATTTTAAAAATTTAGATAGAATTTAATAAATTTTAAATAATCAATTTTAAAGATCATTTA
Source organism: Homo sapiens (assembly GCF_000001405.40). Lineage (NCBI taxonomy): Eukaryota > Metazoa > Chordata > Mammalia > Primates > Hominidae > Homo > Homo sapiens. Next base: position 70,415 of record NW_003315939.2, on the reverse strand, counting down.
AATAAAACAAAACATTTATATATAGAAATTTTAAATAAAAAAGTAATGAACCTATCACCGAGATTAATCACATTTAAAGAGTTGGCTAATTTTGTCTTATCTATTACTTTTACTCCACTTTTTTTTTTTTTGCTACAATATTTAAAACAAATTCCTAAAATCAAGGTATTTCACCTGTAAATATTTTCTTTTTTTTCCCTTCCAACTTTAATTTTAGGATTGGGGGTACATATGGAGGTTTGTTACATGTACAAATGTAAATGTAACATTGTAAACATGTATCACTGGGATTTGTTGTATGCGTTATTTCATCACCCAGGTAGTATGCATAGTATCCAATAGGTAGTTTTTCAACCTTCACCCTCCTCCCACCCTCCACTGTCAAGTAGGCCCTGGTGTCTATTATTCCCTTCTTTGTGTTCATGTGTACTCCATATTTAGTTTCCACTTATAAGCGAGAACGTGTGGTATTTGGTTTTCTGTTTATGTGTTATAATAATTTGCTTAGGATAATGGCCTCCAGCTGCATCCATATTACCACAAAGGACATGATTTCATTATTTTTTATGGCTATATATAATAGTATTTCTTGGTGTATATGTACCACTTTTTTTTATTCAATCCACAATTGATGAGCACCTGGGTTGATTCCATGTCTTTGTGACTATTCACTATTGTGAATGGTGCTGTGATGAACATATGCATGTGTATTAGTCCATTTTTACACTGCTATAAAGAACTGCCGGAGACCTGGGTAATTTATAAATAAAAGAGTTCTAATTGACTCACAGTTATGGATGGCTGGGGAGGCCTCAGGAAATCTACAATCATGGCAGAAGGTGAAGGGGAAGCAAGGCACATCTTACATAGCGGCAGGAGAGAGAGAGAGCAAGTGGGGAAGTGCCACAAATTTAAACCATCAGATCTCATGAGAACTCCCTAACATGAGAATAGCATTGGGGAAATCCACTCCCATGATCCAGTCACCTCCCACCAGGCCCCTCCCTGACACGAGAGGATTACAATTCAACATGAGATTTGGGTGGGAACACAGAGCCAAACCATGTCATTCTTCCACTGGAGCCTCCCAAATCTCATGTCCTTCTCATATTTCAAAATACAATTATTCAGTCTCAACAGTCCCCCAGTCTTTTTTTTTTTTTTTTAAATGGAATCACAACTTTAATGAAAACTTGTTTTAAGTAGCTGCCTATTTTGTGCCAGATGTTTTGTCAGGTACTTTGAATGTCTTTTTAAATTTATTATTTTAACAAACCAGTGAAGTGAGTATTCTTCTTCCCATTTTACAGATAAAGACAGTCTCAGAGAAAGTTTGTGGCTTGTCATTTACACACCTAGGAACTGTCAGAATCAATTAGAACCCAGGTCAATTTGAAGGTTCTTTCCACTACATCACCCTGCCTCTCACATTTTAGATACTGAGTAATAAACGTTCAATATTTAAACACAGAAGCATAATACTGCAGACATTAGAGTAAGAAGAGCATTATTTCATATAAATATAACCCTTCTCCTTTAAAGGAACTCCGAAATTATTCTTAGGTTTGGTAATTTAACATAATCCTATTTTTGATTCTTTTTTCTTTGTCTTTGTCAAATTGGGTTAATTCAAAAGCCTTGTTTTCAAGCTCTGAAGTTCTTTATTCTACTTGTTCAATTCTATTGTTGAAACTTTCCAGTGTATTTTGCATTTCTCTGTGTTTTTCATTTCTAGAAGTTGTGATTTTTTAATTTATGATATCTGTTTCTCTGGAGATTTTTTCATTTATATCCTGTATTTTAAAAAATGTCTTTAAGTTGTTTTTCACCTTTCTCTGGTGCCTCCTTGAGTAGCTTCATAATTGACCTTCTGAATTATTTTTCTGGCAATTCAGAGATTTCTTCTTGGTTTGGATCCATTACTGATGAGCTAGTGTGAACTTTTGGGGGTGTTATAGAACTTTGTTTTGTCATATTATGAGAATTGTTTTCTGTTCCTTTTCATTTGGGTAGACTATGTCAGAGGAAAGATCTGGACTCAAGGGTTGCTGTTTAGATTCTTTTGTTCCATGGGGTGATCCCTTGATGTGGTGCCCTCCCCACTTCCCTAGGCTTGGGGCTTCCTAAGAGCTGGGCTAAAGTGATTGTTATTGCTCTTCTGGGTGTAGCTACCCAGCAGAACTACCAGGCTCTAGGCTGGTACTGGGGAGTGTCTGCAAGGATTCCTGTGATGTGATCCATCTTCAGGTCTCTCAGGCATAGATACCAACACCTGCTTTTGTGGAGGTAGCAGGAGAGTGAAGTGGACTCTGTGAGAATCCTTGCTTGTAGTTTTGTTTAGTGCACTGGTTTTCTTAAATGCTGGTTATGCTAGCAGTGAAGTTGTTAAGTGGACAGACTCAAGACCTCTGGTTATCCAGGTGGTTGAATTAGCCATTGTTTTCTCTTTCCTTGGAGTTCAGTTGGTTGGCCTTCTCTTTCCTTGGAGTAGAATTGGTTTCCTAATGACTTGAGTTGGTTGGCTTCCAGCCAGGAGGTGGTGCCTTCAAAAGAGCATGAGCTGTGGTAGTATAGGGGGGATTCAAGCTTGCCCTAAGGTTGCCTGGATAAGTATTTGGGTTTCTCAGGTGATGGGCAGGGTCTTAGAGTTCCCTTCAGTTTATGTCTCTTGTTGTTGTTTTGTTATCAGCTACCAGGGTGGGTAGAGAAAGACCATCAGGTAGGGGCAGGGTTAGGTGGGTCTGAGCTCAGACTGTCCTTGGGTGGGGCTTGCTGTGGCCATTGTTGGGGATGGGGTGGTTCTCATGCCAATGGAGTTATGTTCCAAGGGGGATTATGGCTGCCTCTGCAGCTTCATACAGGTCCCCAGGATGGTTGGAGAAAGCCGGCAGTGACAGGCCTTACCCAGCTCTCATGCAGCCAGCAAAGCTAATCTCACTCCCGCTGTACTCTCCCAACAGCCAACAGAGCTGAATTTATATCCAGGTCACCAGTGTGCGGGGCTGAGATCTTGCCCCAGGCTACAAGCCTCCCTGCTGAGAAAGCAAGCAGGGCTTTCAGTACTTGCTACTCCCTGACTGCCATGGCTTCTGTGCTAATATCTGTACTTCCTGTTTGACCCCTGGCTACTGCCCAGGAAAATTCATGCTTTGTCAAAATTATTACAAAGTTCAGCTTAAAGTCTCCTTTTCCCTGTGGCTTTTCCCCAATTCTACTGGCTGCTGTCCCCAGAACCCCCGTGAGATAAAGTTAGAAATGGCTTCCCTGGAGACCAGGAGTGCCTACATAGCTCTTCCTACTGCTGCTTTTATTTTATATTTTGCTTGGCTCTCTAAATTCATTTCAGCTCTAGTTAAGGTTAGATCCTTCTCCTGTGATCTGGATTTTCAGGTTCCTCAGGATGTGTGTTCAGAGGCAGACTTTCACCCTCTCATGCTTTGGGCACTTGCAGTTTTTTGGCTGTCTCATGGAGTTTGCAGCAGCAAGCTGCTTCTTTGAAAGGGTCTATGAAATTTTTTGTTTTCTTGGTATGTTCCTGCAGTGGTTCTTGCAGCAATATTTTACATTGTGAGTCTCCACATACTGTCTGTCCATTTGAGTGGGAGCTACATCCATTTGAGTGGGAGCTACAAGTTAGTCCTACCTCCTTTCCAGATTTTTTTTCTTCTTTCAGTCTCCCAGTCTTAACTCATTTCAGCATTAACTCAGAAGTCCAAAGTCCAAAGTTTCATCTGAGACAAAGTAAGCCCCTTCTACCTATGAGCCTGTAAAATCAGAAACGAGTTAGTTACTTTCAAGACACAGTGTGGGTACAGGCATTGGGTAAGTGCTCCCATTCTGAATGGGAGAAATTGGCCAAAACAAAGGGGCTACAAGCCTCAATGCAAGTTCATAATTTAGCAGGGCAGTCATTAAATCTTAAAGCTTCAAAATAATCTCCTTTGACTCCACATCCCACATCCAGGGCACACTGATGCAAGGGGTGGGCTCCCAAGGCCTTGGGCAGCTCCTCCCCTGTGGCTCTACAGGGTACAGCCCCTGTAGCTGCTTTCACAGGCTGGTGTTGAGTGCCTGCGTCTTATCTAGGTGCATGGTGCAAGCTGTCAGTGGTTCTACTGTTTTGAGGTCTGAAGGACAGTGACCCTCTTCTCACAGCACCACTAGACAGTGCCCCAGTGGGGTCACTGTGTGGGGGCTCCAACCCCACATTTCTCCTCTGCCCTATGCTGTAGAGGTTCTCCATGAGGGCTCTGCCCCTGCAGCAGACTTCTGCCTGGACATCCATCTATTTCCATACATGCTTTGAAATCTAGGCGGAGGTTCCCAAACTCTTGCCTTCTGCATACCCACAGGCCCAACACCACATGGAAGCTGCCAAGGCTTGGGGCTTGCACCCTATGAAGCAATGGCCTGAGCTGTACCTTGACACCTTTTAGCCATGGCTGGAGCTGGAGCAGCTGGGACACAGGGTACCATGTCTCGAGGCTGCAGAGAGCAGCATGGCTCTGGGTCTGGCCCATGAACCCATTTTTCCCTCCTAGGCCTCCAAGCCTGTGATGGGAGGGGCTGCCACAAAGATCTTAGAAATTCCCTGGAGACATTTTTCTCACTGACTTCACTATTAACAATTGGCTCTTTGTTACATATGCAAATTTATATAGCTGTCTTGAATTTCTCCCCAGAAAATGGGTTTTCTTTTCTGCTACAGGGTCAGGCTACACATTTTCCAAACTTTTGTGTTCTGCTTCCCTCTTAAATATAAGTTCTAATTTCAGACCATCTCTTTCTTCATGTATATGAATGTACACTTTTAGAAACAGCCATATTACATCTTGAGTGCTTTGTTGCTTAGAAATTTATTCTGTCAGATACCTTAAATCATGTCTCAAGTTCAAGTTCCACAAATCTCTAGGGCAAGGGCAAAATGCTGCCAGCCTCTTTGCTAAAGCATAGAAAGAGTGACTTTTACTCCAATTCCCAATAAGTTCCTCATCTCTAGATGAGACCACCTCAGACTGGACTTTATTGTCCATATCACTATGAACATTTTGGTCAAAACCATTCAACAAGTCTCTAGAAGGTTCCAAACTTTCCCACATCTTCCTATCTTCTTCTAAGCCCTCCAAACTGTACAAACCTCTGTCCATTACCCCATTCCAAAGTCATTTCCACTTTTCAGGTGTCTTTATAACAGTGGTTCACTCTGCTGGTACCAATTTTCTATATTAACCAATTTTCACACTGCTATAAAAAGAACTACCTGAAACTAGGTAACTATAAAGAAAAGAGTTCTAACTGACTTACAGTTCCACATAGCTGGGGAGGCCTCAGGAAACTTACAATCATGGCAGAAGGTGAAAGGAAAGCAAGGCACATCTTACATGGTGGCAGGAGAGATAGAGTGAGGGGAGAAGTGCCACACTTTTAAACCATCAGATCTTGTGAGAACTCAGTCAATATCATGAGACCAGCATGGGGGAAATCCACCCCCATGATCTAATCACTCCCATCAAGTCCCTCCCCTGACATGTGAGGGTTAAAATTTGACATGAGATTTGGGTGGGGACACAGAGCCATACCATATCAGCATGTATGTATCATTATGTAGTATGATTTATGTTCCATTGGGCATATACCTAATAATGGGATTGCTAGGTCAAATGGTTATTCTATTTCATTTTTTTATTTTTATTTTTTATTATACTTTGAGTTTTAGGGTACATGTGCACAACGTGCAGGTTTGTTACATATGTATACATGTGCCATGTTGGTGTGCCACACCCATTAACTCATCATTTAACATTAGGTATATCTCCTAATGCTATCCCTCCCCACTTCCCCCACCCCACAACAGGCCCCAGTGTGTGATGTTCCCCTTCCTGTGTCCATGTGTTCTCATTGTTCAATTCCCACCTATGAGTGAGAACATTAAGTTCTTTGAGAAATCTCCAAATTGCTTTCCAGAGTGGTTGAACTAATTTGCATTCCCATCAGCAGTGTATAATTGTTTCCTTTTCCCTGCAACTTTGCCAGCATCTGTTATTTTTTGACTGTTTAATAATTGCAATTTTGACTGGTGTGAGATGGTATCTCATTGTTGTCTTGATTTGCATTTCTCTAATGTTTAGTGATGTGCAACATTTTTCAAAATGTTTGTTGGCTGCCCAAATGTCCATCAGTGATAGACTGGATTAAGAAAATATGGCACATATACACCATGGAATACTATGCAGCTGTAACAAACGATGAGTTCATGTCCTTTTTAGGGACATGGATGAAGCTGGAAACCATCATTCTCAGCAAACTATCGCAAGGACAGAAAACCAAACACCGCATGTTCTCACTCATAGGTGGGAATTGAACAATGAGAACACTTGGACACAGGTTGGGGAACATCACACAACAGGGCCTGTTGTGGGGTAGGGGGAGGGCGGAGAGATAGTATTAGGAGAAATACCTAATGTAAATGATGAGTTAATGCATGCAGCACACCAACATGGCACATGTATACATATGTAACAAACCTGCACATTGTGCATATGTACCCTAGAACTTAAAGTATAATAATAAAAAGAAAATGTTTGTTGGCTGCTTGTATGTCTTCTTTTGAGAAGTTTCTGTTCATGTCCTTTGCCCACTTTTTAATGGGGTTGTTTTTTGTATGTTGAATTGCTCCTTATAGATTCTGGATATTAAAACTTTGTCAGATGCAAACTTTGCAAATATTTTCTTCCATTCTGTAGGTTGTCTGTTTACTCTGTTGATAGTCTATTTTGCTATGCAGAAGGTTTATTAGGACTCACTTGTCAATTTTTGTTTTAGTTGCAATTGCTTTTGGTGTCTTTGTTATGGAACCTTTGCTAGGGCCTATGTCCACAGTGGTATTTCCTAGGATTTCTTCTAGGATTTTTATAACTTTAGACTTTACATTAAAGTCTTTAATCCATCTTGAGTTGATTTTTTTTATACGGTGAAAGGAAGGGATCTAGTTTCAATCTTCTGCATATGGCTGCCAGTTATCTCAGCATCATTTATTGAATAGGGAATCCTTTCCCCATTGCTTGTTGTTGTTGACTTTGTCAATGCTCAGATGGTTGTAGGTGTGTGGATTTATTTCTGGGTTCTCTAACCTGTTCCATTGCTCTATGTGTCTGCTTTTGTACCAATACCATGCTGTTTTGATTACTGTAGCCTTGTAGTATAGTTTGAAGTTGGGTAGTATAATACCTTTGACTTTGTTCTTTTTACTTAAGTTTGCTTTGGCTATTCAGGCTCTTTTTTGTTTCTATATACATTTTAGAATAGTTTTTTTCTGACTCTGTGAAAAGTGTCCATTGGTAGTTTGATAGGAATAGCATTGAATCTGTAAATTGTTTCGAGCAATATGGTCATATATTCTTCCTATACATGAGCATGAAATGTTTTCCCATTTGTTTATGGCATCTCCGATTTCTTTCAGTAGTGTTTTGTAATTCTCATAGTAGAGATCTGTCACTTCCCTCGTTAGCTGTATTCCCAGGTATTTTATTTTATTTTTGTGGCTATTGTGAATTGGATTACATTCTTGATTTGACTCTCAGCTTAAAAATTGTTGGTGTATAGAAATGCTACTGATTTTTTATACATTGATTTTTTGTCATGAAGCTTTGAGGAAGTTGTTTATCAGATTTAGGAGCCTTTGGACAGAGACTATGGAGTTTTCTAGGTATAGATTTGTATCATCTGTGAAGAGAGATAGTTTGACTTCCCGTCTTCCTATTTAGATGCCTTTTATTTCTTTCTCTTGCCTGATTGCTCTGGCTAGGACTTTCAGAACTGTGTTGAATAGGAGTGGTGGGAATGGGCATCCTTATCTGTTCCAGTTCTCAAGGGGAATGCTTCTAGCTTTTGCCTGTTCAGTATGATGTTGGCTGTGGATTTGTCATAGATGGCATTTATTATTTTGAGGTATGTTCCTTCAATGTCTAATTTGTTGACAGTTTTTATCTTGAAGGGATGTTGAATTTTATCGAAGGCCTTTCCTGTGTCTATTGAGATGATCATGTGGTTTTTGTTTTTAGTTCTGTTTAGGTGATGAATCACATTTATTGATTTGCATATGTTGAACCAACCTTGCATCCCAGGGATAAAGCCTACTTGATCATGGTGGATTATCTTTTTAATGAGCTGCTGGATTTGTTTTGGCAGTATTTTTAAAAATTTTTTTATTATACTTTAAGTTCTAGGGTACATGTGCACAATGTGCAGGTTTGTTACATGTGTATACATGTGCCATGTTGGTGTGCTGCACCCATTAACTCGTCATTACATTAGGTATATCCCCTAATGCTATCCCTCCCCCCAACCCCCACCCCATGACAGGCCCCAGTGTGTGATGTTCCCCTTCCTGTGTCCAAGTGTTCTCATTGTTCAATTTCCACATATAAGTGAGAACATGCAGTGTTTGGTTTTTTTGTCCCTGTGATAGTGCGCTAAGAATGATGGTTTCCAGCTTCATACATGTCCCTACAAAGGACATGGACTCATCCTTTTTTATGGGATTTGGCAGTATTTTGTTGAGGATTTTTGCATCTATGTTCATCAGGGGTGTTGGCCTAAAGTTTTAAAAAATTTTTTTGTCTCTGCCAGGTTTTGGTTTCAGAATGATGCTGGCCTCATAGAATGAGTTACGGAGGAGTCCCTTCTCCTGACTTTTTTTTTTTGGAATAGTTTTAGTAGGATTGATACAGTTCTTCTTTATATGCCTGGTAGAGCTTGGCTGTGAGTCTGTCTTTTTCAGGGCTTTTTCTGGTTGGTAGGCTTTTTATTACTGATTCAGTTTTGAAACTCATTATTGGTATGTTCAGGGTATTAATTTATTCCTGGTTCAATCTTGGGAGGTTGTATGTTTCCAGGAATTTATCCACTTCTAGGTTTCCTAGTTTGTGCGCATAGAGGTGTTTGTAATAGTCTCTGAGGGTTTCTTGTATTTCTATGGGGTTGGTAGTAATGTACCCTCTGTCATTTCTGATTCTGTTTATTTGGATATTCCTTTTTTAAATTAGTTTAGCTAGCAGTCTATCTATCTTATTTATTCTTTAGAAGAACCACTTTTGATTTTGTTGATCTTTTGTATGGTTTTTCACATCTCTGTTTTGTTCAGTTCAGGTCTGATTTTGGTTATTTCCTGTCTTCTGCTAGTTTTGGGGTTGGTTTGTCAGTTCCTTATTTTTAAAGTTCCTCTAGGTGTGATGTTAGGTTGTAAATTTGAGATCTTTCTAACTTTTTGATGAGGGCATTTAGCACCACAAACTTTCCTCTTAACACTGCTTTAACTGTTCCAGGGATTCTGGTATGCTGTATCTTTGTTTATATTAATTTCAAAGAATTTCTTGATTTCTGCTTTAATTTCATTCTTTACCCAAAAGTCATTCAGAACCAGATTGTTTAATTTTCATGTAATTGTATGGTTTTGAGAAATCTTCTTGTTATTGATTCTATTTTTATTGTGCTGTGCTCCAAGAGTGTGGTTGGTGTGATTTTGGTTTTCAAAAAGTTGTTGAGAATTGCTTTATGGCTGGGCATGTGGTCAGTTTTAGAATATGTACCACGTTTAGATGAAAAGAATGTATATTCTTTTACTGTTGGCTTGAGTGTTCCATAATCTGTTAGGTCCATTTGGTGAAGTGTCAAGTTTAGGTACCAAATATCTTTGTTAGCTTTCTGCCTTGATGATCCACCTAATACTGCCAGTGGGTTGTTGAAGTCTCCTGCTATTGTTGTGTGGTTATCTAAGTGTCTTCAAATCTTTTCTAAGAACTTGTTTTATGAATTTGGGCGCTCCAGTATTGGCTGCATATATATTTGGGACAGTTCAGTCTTCTTGTTGAATTGAACTCTTTATCATTATGTAATGCCCTTCATTGTTCCTTTTGATTGTCATTAAAATCTGTTTTGTCTGAAATAAGAATAGCAACTCCTATTCTTTTGTGTTTCCATTTGCTTGAGAAATTTTACTCCACCCATTTACTTTGAGCTTATGGGTGTCATTGCATGTGAGATGGGTCTCTTGACGGCATACATTTGGGTCCTGCTTCTTTATCCAGCATATCACTCTGTGCATTTTAAGTGGGGTGTTTAGCCCATTTATGTTCAAGGGTAATATTGATATGTGTGGATTTTATCCTGTCATCATGTTGTTATATACTTAAGTGTATTTTTGTGGTGGCCGGTAATGGTCTTTCCTGTCCATGTTTGACATGACCTTAAGGACCTCTTGTAAGACAAGTTTGGTGGCAATGAATTCTCTTAGCATTTGCTTGTCTGTAAAGGATTTTATTTCTCCTTTGCTTATGATGCTTAGTTTGAGTGGATATAAAATTCTTGGTTGGCATTTTTTTTCTCTTAGGCTGCTGAAAATAGGCCCTCAATCTCTTCTGGTTTGTAGGGTTCTACTAAAAGGTCTATTATTACCCTGATGGAGTTCCCTTTGTAGATGAAAGCCTCTTCCCTCTGGCTAGATTTACTATTTTTTCTTTTGCATTGACCCTGGAGAATCTGATGACTATGTCTCCTGGGGATGGTAATCTTATATAGTATCTCATAGGGGTTTTCTGAATTTCCTGAGTTTGAATGTTGACTTCTGTAGCAAGGCTGGTGACATTTTCATGGGCAGTATTCTCAAATATGTTTTCCAAGTTGCTTGTTCTCTCTTTCTCTCTTTTTGGGATGCCAATGAGTTATAGGTTTTGTCTGTTTATATAATTCCGTATTTCTCAGAAATTTTGTTCATTTTTAAAACTTCTTTGTTTATTATTTTTGTCTGACTGAATTTATTTGAAAAACTGGTCTTTGAGCTCTGAGATTCTTTCCTCAGCTTGGTGTATTCTGCTGTTAATACTTCTGATTATGTTATAAAATTATTGTAATAAGTTTTTCAGCTCTATCAGATCAGTTTGGTTCTTTCTTAAAATGGCTGTTTAATCTTTCAGCTCTTGAATAATTCTACTGGATTCCTTAGATTCCCTGGATTGGGTTTCATCTTTCTCCTGCATCTCAGTGCTCTTAATTGCTATCCAGATTCTGAATTCTATGTCTGTCATTTCAGCCATTTGAGTCTGGTTAAGAACCATTATTGGGGACCTAGTGAAGTCATTTGGAGGTAAGAAGACACTCTAGTTTTCTAGCTTTTAGAGTTTCAGAGTTTTGTGCCTTTAAAAAAATATATATGTTTGGGCTCATGTTTCTTTAATCTTTAAAGTTGCTGTTTTTTTTGGATGGGGCTTTTTGCTTTCATATTCTTTGATGCACTTGAGGGTTTGATGGTAATATAAGTTGGGTTTAGCTGACTGGCTTTGTTTCTGGATGATTTCAGGGGGCCGAGGCTCAGCTCAGCATTCTTGTACTATGTGCTGTGACCCTGGGGGTCTGGGACTAGGTCCATGGCTTTGTTCTCCATCCCCTTGAGGTTAAGCACCTACAGGACTGCAGGGGCTGAGATATTCCTGGTCTTCTGGTAACAACACTCTGACTGCAGAAGGTGCTGGCAAAACTACTTTGTCAGGGCAGTGACTGCAGAGCCTGTGCTTACATACACAAGCCAGCAATAGCAGGGTGGTTGTGTGGTAGGGTCTGCACCCATGCACTAGTGGCAGTGGTATGGTGGGGTCCCCATGTACATGTCAGTAGCAGTAGGATGATGGGGTTTGCGTGTGGACACATGTACCGTCAAAGCAGTGGGGGGAGGCTGAGAGTGAGTGCATGTTGGCAAAGTGGTGGTGGTGGGGGTGGCTGTGGGTATGTGTGTGCTGGTGGGGGCCTATCTGCAGAAGCTTTCTAATGGTTAGACAAGATCTGCCTGCAAAAGAGTTATAGCAGTGACCACTGGGAAGCACTCTGGTTGGGCATCTTGAGGCTGCACTACAAGTGGGTGCAGCCAGGCAGGGCCCCTGGCAGAAGCCAGCAGATAGAAGGGTGCTTAGATCAGACTGGCCCCATCTCATGGGCAAGATAGCTCTGTTCTGTCCAAATCCAACAGTTAAGAAAGGCCAAATCCACGTAGAAGAGCCTGATGAGCCTTGGGGATACATGTCCCTGGCCATGCTCCACTGCAACCATTCCTATGCCAAACTCTCTGGGCTCCATGCAGTCCAATCTGATATATTGTAATACATGTTATATGAATAGGGACCATGGGGTGGAGTTTCTGCAGTGACAGGAGATCTTTAAGATAGGTTACCACTATGTTACATTGTAGACAGAATTCATAGAAGTCAGATTCTAGTCATGGCTAAATCTAGGCAAAATTGAAGTAGACATTATTCTTTTGTCTTTTCCCAGTTTCCTCATCTATGCTTTTCCCCCTTTCCTGAGTCTTCAACTCTGCTTGCTCAGGGTTTGCAGATGCTACTTTATTTCTTCTCACTTAGGAAAAAAGCTCATTCACATTTATGTTGTTACGGATGACCATCCAGGGGAAACAGTATGTTGTAGGGGAAAAGAGCAAGCGTTTTAAGGCAGATGAAACAGGGTTTCAATCCTGTCTCTGCTTGTTGCATTTTATAAAAAGAATGCCTGGAAATGCCTGGATTGAGATTGCTGAACCCCATATAATGTGTCACTAATGGAGAACTTTCAGGCACTGGGAAGGAAGATATTTCTGGGTTGAGGACACTTTTCACATGTCTCTCAAATTCTTCATTTAATCATTTAATTTTACATTTGGCAAGAAAATAAGAACTCTTTACAAAGTTTTCTCACATAAAAGAAAACATATTTGTAGGTGTTGAAAACAAAACAAACCCTTACAAATATCTCCTCATGTTGACAGGCATTACTACGTTTTTGTAGAAAGACTTTCAGAAGATGGAAAACCATACATCCTGTATGTCCAGGGGTTAAAGCAGACAGGACAGACTTTTTTTTTGGCACTGGAGTAAGTATGTCAAGTCTGGCCATATTTGCATATGCTGTATTTTAAAATCATGTTTAAAAATGTCTCATATATTCTGAATCTGGCAAGTGGAAGGCAAGGAGGTCACCTGTACAGCTGGTGCAGGTAATAGAATTCCCATCAGGCACATTTTGAAGCTCCAAAGTAATGTGACAAATGGAACACTCCATCTGTTGGGAGCCCATTGAGATGAGCACCAGCTCCACAGACACTTTAATATGGGTGGAATATTTTGATGGCAACCATTTATATTAAGTATCTTTAATTTCATTTACTTTCTGTGTAATTATTCTAGAAGTAGTCACAAATATGAACTGTACAGAAGCACATATGCTGGCAAGAATTTATAATATTTCTGTCTTAATGATACTACATGAAGAAAAATAATGGAAACATATTTTAACACAAGACACTTTATAAATCATGCATTATTAAAAACTGTTTAATCAAAGCTTGGTGGCAGTTTACTCATAATATTCAAAATGACCATGAACAACTACATGAAGAATATTTAAGATAAGAAAATATAATAAACATTCTCTAAAACATGCTGTCATTTTAAACACCTTGGGTCACTAAAGAAAAAACATAGGTAATTAAAAAGAAAAATCATTTTTAGTGAATTATTAAATGTAATACATAACTGGATCTAGGTTTTCTCAGAAGAAGGGGCAGGCAAAAAAAATTTATCTGAATATAGGTGTTAGGATAGGTGAGATCACTGAAACTTCTACTAATAATTAACACTTAGCTTCAATATTTGTACTGAACTCTGGTAGCCCTCATTTGGGAGCAGCAGTACTCAATCAAGATATGTCCTTTGTGAGGTGTGTCACAAGTAATTTATTATTAATAACAGTTACCCAAGTTTTAAAATGAATTGCTTGTTAGAAATTATAGCAAATTCAAAGTGATCTGCATGATGATGTCATCCAAGGACATGGGTCTCTTTGGCACTTCTGTGAGTCTTCAAAGATGCGAGTGAGTTGGAGAAGGGGAAATTGTACACAACCTGCAGCACATAACATCTGTACCAAAGCCCTTAATCTTGGTGCTACTCATGAATGCCATTCATCACGTATGTTGCAGTGGGTATAATAAGATTGGGAGCTGCCAAATACCTGATATGCAAAGGTTGGTTATGGTGCTAGAGATCCCTCAGGGGCTGGCCTGATAACCCTCCTGCTTCTTGCTTAGCTCTTCATAATCAGGGATGATGCTTAATGTTTCCAGAGGCTAGTGTTTCTGTTACTGTCTTTTAATTAAATGTCCTTCTACAACACTTGCGTGAAGAATGCTCACAAAGGAGAGCTCCTGCTTGGCCAGGAATGTATATTTTCCTGGATTATGGAGTCAGGGTCCAAGAAAAGCAAAATGTAACATCATTAGACGAAAGTAAGAAATAAAGCAGTGAGAAGCAATAATGGGCTCTTTATTGAGCTCTTTTTATGATTGATAATATTATATATTATTAAGTGCTTTAAACATACATTAATTGTTTCAACACTCCTCTGAAATAAGTATTACTATCTCCATTTTACCGATGGGGTAACTGAGCCTCAGGGAGGTTAAAAACCTCACTCAGGATTCCAGCCAGTGAGTGACAGAACCGGGTTGAAACCCATGACTTTGTGACAGTAATGGCCATAGTCATATCTGTTATGATGTATTGTTGCAAAGTAAGAGAAGTTCCCACACTCCATGAGTGTACCAGTTCAAAAGATGTAACAAAAATTGTCATTCTGTAATAACATTGACTTACACTTAAAAAAACTATTATGGATTTCAAAACTTTTCAAAGTTCTGGAAGAAAGACAGTCAGGAACTTTACAAATTATTGGTTTATAGTTCATACATTCAGTCTTCACAAAGTCCTAATTAGGCTTTCAGTATAGGGGACATTTTGAGGAACAAGAGATGAGTCACGAGTTTGACCTCCAAAGATCAAGTTGTGGAGGTATCATGTATGATATATTTATGTGTAGAAATAACTTGAAACATCAAACCACAAGTTGAGCTTTCCTTCTCTTGTGACCATCCACCCATGTATTACCCAAGTCCAGACCCAATGGCAGTTTGCCAAGTGTGAGCCAAAATGAGTGTGGTCCCAGAAGAACTGGTTCATCTTCCTCTGGTCTGGAGGGGAAATACAAAGCCAGCAGAAGAGGCTTCTTTGAGACAGCAGAGTTCATGGAGTGTTACATTAGACACCTGGTCCCTTACCCTTTCTCCTTTCTGCAGGGGGTATGGAGGGTACTCGACCTGTTCTCTCTGCAACCCTCACCAGCCCAAGGGGTCCCAGGAGAGTGTTCCACGGGGTTTAAAGAGTGATTCTAGAACATGGGGCTGCACGTATTTCTTGCCAGGAACTCTCACAAAGACTGGGGGCTGACAGTTTTACAGTACAATAGCTGAGTGGGAAACAACTGTGGAGTGGTGGAGCTGAGAGAGCTGGAGAGAGCGTGTGGCTCCCACCACATGACATGGCAAGGATACCTGAGTTTTCTGCAGGCTCAGAACCACCTTCAGAGTTAGTGGGTCAGTGGCTGGTTTGCAATCCTGCCATTTCCCCCAGGATGTAGAGTCAGCAGGAAGGAAGAGAAAAATGCTGGAAAACAGATTTGGATGACATTGACTGTGATAGTATTTCCTAAATTAGATTAGAAAACACCACTGGAAAGGCTTCAAGATAGCTAACTAGAGGCACCTGCTACTGGCCTACCCCACAAAGAAGAACCAAAATAGTGAGCAGATAATCACACTTCAAATAGATCATCTATGAGAGAATGCTGGAATTCAGCAAAGAAGTGACAGGAAACACCTAAAGCAAGGAAGGAGAGGGAAGTGAGGCAGCCTGCTCAGTTGGGATCAGATGGGAGCCTGGGAGAGGGTTCCCAATGCAGGTAAAGTGAGAGACCCACAGGACTCCACATTCCAACCATGGACTTTCTTTCTTTCTTTTTTTTTTTGAGATGGAATCTCACTCTGTCACCCAGGCTGGAGTGCAGTGGTGTGATCTCAGTTCACTGCAACCTCCACCTCCGAGGTTCAAGTGATTCTTCTGCCTCAGTCTCCCGAGTAGCTGGGACTACAGGTGCACACCACCACTATTTTTTTTTAGTAGAGACGGGGTTTCACCATATTGGTCAGGCTGGTCTTAAACTCCTGACCTCATTATCCACTGGCCTCAGTCTCCCAAAGTACTGGGATTAGAAATGTCAGCCACCGCGCCTGGCCCATGGACTTTCTAATACTAGAAGTCCTACCTAGAGCAATTAAACAAGAGAAATAAATAAAAGGCATCCAAAGTGGAAAGGAATAATAATCCAAATTATCTTTGTTTGCAGATGATATGATTTTAGATATGATCTCAGATATCGTATCATCTGCAAAACTAAAAAAACCTAAAGAAAAAAATCTAGGAAAACCTAAAGACTCTACCAAAAAACTATTAGAACTGATAAACAAATTTAGTACAGTTTCAGGATACAAAATCAACATACAAAAATCAGTAGCATTTCTTTATGTCAACTGCAAGCAGTCTGAAAAAGAAACCAAGAAAATAATCCATTTACAGTAGCTACAAGTAGAACTAAATTCTTAGGAATAAACTTAACCAAAGCAATGAAACATCTCTACAATGAAAACTATGAAACATTGATGAAAGAAATTGAAGAGGGCACAAAAAAATGGAAAGAGATTCCATGTTTGTGAATTGGAAGAATCAGTATTGTCAAAATGTTCATACTAACCAAAGCAATCTACAGATTCAATGAAATGTCTGTCAAAATACCAATGACATTCTTCACAGAAATAGAAAAAAATCCTAAAATCTATATGGAACCACAAAAGACCCAGAATAGCCAAAGCAATCCTGAGCAAAAATAACAAGGCTGGAAGCATCACATTACCTGACTTCAAATTATACTACAAAGCAGTAGTAACCAAAACAGCATCGTGTGGACATAGAAACATAGACCAATGGAACAGAATAGAGAACCTAGAAATAAATTCTTACATTTACAGTCAACTCATTTTTGACAAAAGTGCTAAGAACAAACATTGGGAAAAGGACAGTCTTTTCAACAAATGGTGCTGGGAAAACTGGAGGTGCATATGCAGAAGAATGAAACAAGATCCCTGTCTCTTACCATATACAAAAGTCAAATAAAAATGGATTGAAGACTTAAATCTAAGACCTCAAACTATGAAATGTCTAAAAGAAAACATTAGAGAAACACTCCAGGACATTGGTCTGGGTGAAGATTTCTTGAGTAAGACCTCGAAAGCACAGGCAAACAAAACAAAAATGGACAAACAGGTCACATCAAGCTAAAAAGTTTCTGTACAGCAAAGGAATCAACTAACAAAGTGAAAAGCTAATATACAGAATGGGAGAGAATATTTGCAAACCACCTGTCTGACAAAGATTAATAACCAGGATATATAAGGAACTTAAACAACTCAATAGTAAAATTTGAATAGGCATTTCTCAGAAGAAGACATACAAATGGTCAACAGGTGTATGAAAATCTCCACATCACTAATCCTCAGGAAAATGCAAATTAAAACTATAGTGAGATATCATCTCACTGCAATTAAGATGACTTTTATCCAAAAGACAGGCAATAATGAATGCTGGTGAGGATGTGGAGAAGGGGGAATCCTATACTGTTGGAGGGCATGTAAATTAGTACATCCACAATGGAGAAGAGTATGAAGGTTCCTCAAAAAAACCAAAAAGAACTGACACACAATCCAGCAATCCCACTGCTGGGTGTATATCTAAAAGAAAGGAAATCAGTATATTGAAGAGATATCTGCATCTTCATGTTTATTGCAGCACTATTCACAACAGCCAAGATATGGAATCAACTTAAGTATCCATCAACAGATGAATGGATGAAGAAAATGTGGTATATAACACAATGGAATATTATTCAGCCATTAAAAGAATGAAATCCTATCATTTGCAACAATATGGATGGAACTTAAGGACATTATATTAAGCGAAATAATCCAGGCACAGAAAGACAAATACTGCATGTTCTTGCTCATGTGTGAGAGCTCAAAAAGTGGATCTCATCGAGGTAGAGAGTTGATTGATAGTTACTAGAGGCTGGGAAGGGGAGATGAGAAGAGGTTAGTTAATGGGTATAAAAATATGGTTGGATAGGAGGAAAAAGATGTAGTGCTTGGTAGCACAGTAGGGCAACGATAGTTAGTAATAATTTATTGTATATTTCAAAAATAACTTAAAGAGTAGAACTGGAATGTTCCTATCAAAGAAATGATAAATGCTTGTGGCTGGGCATGGTGGCTCATACCTCTAATCCCAGTACTTTGGGAGGCCAAGGTGGGCAGATCATTTGAGGTCAGGAGTTCGAGACCAGCCTGACCAACATGGTGAAACCCTGTCTCTACTAAAAGTACAAAATAATTAACTGGGTGTGGTTGCCCATGCCTGTAGTTCCAGCTACTCAGGAGGCTGAGGCAGGAGAATTGCTTGAACTCGGGAGATGGAAGTTGCAGTGAGCTGAGATTGCACCACTGCACTCCAGCCTGGGTGATAGAATGAAACTCCATCTGAATAAAAAAAAAAAAAAAAGGAATGGTAAATGCTTGAGATGATGGATACCACAATTACTCTGATTTGACAGTTATACATTGTATGCTTGTATCAAAATATCATGTGTATTCTGTAAATATGTACAACTATTATGTATTCATAATAGTTAAAAATAAAAAATTAAAATCATATTAAGTATCTTAGACCACAGTGGAGTAAAACTAAGAACCAATAATAAGAAGAACTTTGGAAACTGTACAAAATACATGGAAATTAAACAACATGCTCCTGCATGACCACTGGTCAAGGAAGAAATTAAGGAGGAAAGAAAAAATTTATTTAAACATGTGAAAATCAAAATACAACATACCAAGACCTGTGGGATATAGCCAAAGCAGTGCTAAGAGGAAAGTTTATAGCAATAAATGCTTTCATCAGAAAAGTAGAAAGATTTCAAATAGATAATCTAATGCACCTCAAGGAACTAGAAAATCGAGAAGAAACAAAATCCCAATTTAGTAGAAGGAAAGAAATAATAAAGATCAGATAAGAAATAAACAAAACAGAGACTAAAATCAAATAAGAGTCAACAAAATGAAAAATTGTTTGAAAAGATAAACAAAATTGATAAACTGCTAGCTAGACTAACCAAACAAAAAGAGATAAGACCCAAATAAAATCAGAAATGAAAAAGGAGTCATTTCAACTGATACCAAAGAAATATAAATGATCATTAGATAATATTATGAACAACTACACTAACAAACTGGAAAACCAAGAGGAAATTGATAAATTCCTGAACACATATAACCTACCAAGATTAACTGAGGAAGAAATAGAAAATCTGAACAGACCAATAATGTGTAATGGGATTGAATCAGTAATCAAAAGTCTCCCAACAAAGAAAAGTCCTGGACAGGAAGGATTTACTGCTGAATTCTACCAAACTTTCAAAAAAGAACTAACACTAATTTTCCTCAAACTGTTCCAAAAAATTGAAGAGGAGGGAATTCTCCCTAACTCATTCTATGAGGTGAGCATTTACCCTTATACCAAAACCAGACAAAGACTCAACAACAACAACAACAAAAAAAAAAAAAAAAAAGGGAAAACTACAGGCCAATATCCCTGATGAACAGAGACCACACAACCCTCAACAGAATACTAACAAATTGAAACCAACAGCACATCAAAAATATAGTATATCATGATCAAGTGGGAGTTATCCTAGAGATGCATGAATGGTTCAATATACAGAAATAAACAAACATGATACATCACATCAACAGATGAAGGACAAAAATCATATGATAATCTCAGTAGATGCAGAAAAAGCATTTGATAAAATTAACCCTTTATGACAAAAATGCTCAAAAAACTAGACATACAAGGAACATACCTCAACATACTAAAGGCCATATGTGACAAACCCACAGCTAATATTTTATGGAATGGAGAAAAGCTGATAGCCTTTCCTCTAAGAACAGGAATAACTTTTACCACTCCTATTCAACATAGTCTAGAAGTCCTACCCAGAGCAATCAAGCAAGAGGAAGAAATAACAGGCATCTAAACTGGAAAAGAGGAAGTCAAATTGTCCTTCTTTGCCCTCTTTGCACATGATATGATCTTATATATAGAAAAACCTTAAGACTCTCCCAAAAAACTCTTAGATTCAATACATTTGGTGAAATTGTAGAATACAAAATCAACAAACAAAAATGAGTAGCATTTCTATATACTAATAATGAACTAGCTGAGAAACAAATCAAGAAGGCAATCCCATTTACAATAGCTACAAAAATACATGGAAATGGCGGTTCCAAGATGGCCAAATAGGAAGAGCTCCAGTCTACAGCTCCCAGTGTGAGAGACGCAGAAGACGGGTGATTTCTGCATTTCCAACTGAGGTACCGGGCTTGTCTCACTGGGGCTTGTCAGACAGTGGGTGAAGGACAGTGGGTGCAGCCCACTGAGCATGAGCTGAAGCAGGGTGAGGCATCGCCTCACCCGGGAAGTGCAAGGGGTCAGGGAATTCCCTTTCCTAGCCAAGGGAAGCTGTGACAGACGGCACCTGGAAAATTGGGTCACTCCCACCCTAATACTGTGCTTTTCCAATAGTCTTAGCAAATGGCACACCAGGAGATTATATCCCATGCCTGGCTCAGAAGGTCCCACGCCCACAGAGCCTCACTCATTGCTAGCATAGCTGTCTGAGATAGAACTGCAAGGTGGCAGAGAGGCTGGGGGAGGGGCTCCCGCCATTGCTGAGGCTTGAGTAGGTAAACAAAGCTGCCAGGAACCTCGAACTGGGTTCAGCCCACTGCAGCTCAAGGAGGCCTGCCTGCCTCTGTAGACTCCACCTCTGGGGGCAGAGCATAGCCAAACAAAAGGCAGCAGAAACCTCTGCAGACTTAAACGTCCCTGTCTGACAGCTTTGCAGAGAGTAGTAGTTCTCCCAGCATGGAGTTTGAGATCTGAGAATGGTCAGACTGCCTCCTCAAGTGGGTCCTTGACCCCCAAGTAGCCTAACTGGGAGAAACTCCCCAGTAGGGGCAGACTGACACCTCACATGGCTGGGTACCCCTTTGAGATGAAGCTTCCAGAGGAACGATCAGGCAGCAACATTTGCTGTTCAGCAATATTCACTGTTCTACAGCCTCCACTGCTGATACCCAGGCAAACAGGGTCTGGAGTAGACCTCCAGCAAACTCCAACAGACCTGCAGCTGAGGGTCCTGACTGTTAGAAGGAAAACTAATAAACAGAAAGGACATCCACATCAAAACCCCATCTGTATGTCATCATCATCAAAGACCAAAGGTAGATAAAACCACAAAGATGGGGAAAAAACAGGGCATAAAAGCTGAAAATTCTACAAATCAGAGTGCCTCTCCCCCTCCAAAGGAATGCAGCTCCTCACCAGCAATGGAACAAAGCTGGACAGAGAATGACTTTGATGAGTTGACAGAAGAAGGCTTCAGACAATCAAACTTCTCTGAGCTAAAGGAGGAGGTTCGAACCCATCACAAAGAAGCTAAAAACCTTGAAAAAAGATTAGATGAATGGCTAATTAGAATAACCAGTGTAGAGAAGTCCTTAAATGACCTGATGGAGCTGAAAACCATGGCAAGAGAACTATGTGATGAATGCACAAGCTTCAGTAGCTGATTCGATCAACCGGAAGAAAGGATATCAGTGATTGAAGATCAAATGAATGAAATGAAGCATGAAGAGAAGTTTAGAGAACAAAGAGTAAAAAGAAATGAACAAAGCCACTAAGAAATATGGGACTATGAGAAAAGACCAAACCTACATCTGACTGGTGTACCTGAAAGTGATGGGGAGAATGGAACCAAGTTGGAAAACACTCTGCAGGATATTATCCAGGAGAACTTCCCCAACCTAGCAAGGCAGGCCAACATTCAGATTCAGGAAATACAGAGAACGCCACAAAGACACTCCTCGAGAAGAGCAAATCCAAGACACATAATTGTCAGATTCACCAAAGTTGAAATGAAGGAAAAGATGTTAAGGGCAGCCAGAGAGAAAGGTCGGGTTACCCACAAAGGGAAGCCCATCAGACTAACAGCGGATCTTTCGGCAGAAACTCTACAAGCCAGAAGACTGTGGGGGCCAATATTCAACATTCTTTTATTTATTTATTTATTTATTTATTTATTATTATTATACTTTAAGTTTTAGGGTACATGTGCACAATGTGCAGGTTAGTTACATATGTATACATGTGCCATGCTGGTGTGCTGCACCCACTAACTCGTCATCTAGCATTAGGTATATCTCCCAATGCTATCCCTCCCCCCTCCCCCCACCCAACAACAGTCCCCAGAGTGTGATGTTCCCCTTCCTGTGTCCATGTGTTCTCATTGTTCAATTCCCATCTATGAGTGAGAATATGCAGTGTTTGGTTTTTTGTTCTTGTGATAGTTTAGTGAGAATGATGATTTCCAATTTCATCCATGTCCCTACAAAGGACATGAACTCATCATTTTTTATGGCTGCATAGTATTCCATGGTGTATATGTGCCACATTTTCTTAATCCAGTCTATCATTTTTGGACATTTGGGTTGGTTCCAAGTCTTTGCTATTGTGAATAGTGCCGCAATAAACATACGTGTGCATGTGTCTTTAAAGCAGCATGATTTATAGTCCTTTGGGTATATACCCAGTAATGGGATGGCTGGGTCAAATGGTATTTCTAGTTCTAGATCCCTGAGGAATTGCCACACTGACTTCCACAATGGTTGAACTAGTTTACAGTCCCACCAACAGTGTAAAAGTGTTCTTATTTCTCCACATCCTCTCCAGCACCTGTTGTTTCCTGACTTTTTAATGATTGCCATTCTAACTGGTTTGAGATGGTATCTCATTGTGGTTTTGATTTGCATTTCTCTGATGGCCAGTGATGGTGAGCATTTTTTCATGTATTTTTTGGCTGCATAAATGTCTTCTTTTGAGAAGTGTCTGTTCATGTCCTTCACCCACTTTTTGATGGGGTTGTTTGTTTTTTTCTTGTAAATTTGTTTGAGTTCATTGTAGATTCTGGATATTAGCCCTTTGTCAGGTGAGTAGGTTGTGAAAATTTTCTCCCATTTTGTAGGTTGCCTGTTCACTCTGATGGTAGTTTCTTTTGCTGTGCAGAAGCTCTTTAGTTTAATTAGATCCCATTTGTCAATTTTGGCTTTTGTTGCCATTGTTTTTGGTGTTTTAGACATGAAGCCCTTGCCCATGCCTATGTCGTGAATGGTAATGCCTAGGTTTTCTTCTAGGGTTTTTATGGTTTTAGGTCTAACATTTAAGTCTTTAATCCATCTTGAATTGATTTTTTTACAGGGTGTAAGGAAGGGATCCAGTTTCAGCTTTCTACATATGGCTAGCCAGTTTTCCCAGCACCATTTATTAAATAGGGAATCCTTTCCCCATTGCTTGTTTTTCTCAGGTTTGTCAAAGATCAGATAGTTGTAGATATGCGGCATTATTTCTGAGGGCTCTCTTCTGTTCCATTGATCTATATCTCTGTTTTGGTACCAGTACCATGCTGTTTTGGTTACTGTAGCCTTGTAGCATAGTTTGAAGTCAGGTAGCATGATGCCTCCAGCTTTGTTCTTTTGGCTTAGGATTGACTTGGCAATGCGGGCTCTTTTTTGGTTCCATATGAACTTTAAAGTAGTTTTTTTCAATTCTGTGAAGAAAGTCATTGGTAGCTTGATGGGGATGGCATTGAATCTGTAAATTACCTTGGGCAGTATGGCCGTTTTCACGATATTGATTCTTCCTACCCATGAGCATGGAATATTCTTCCATTTGTTTGTATCCTCTTTTATTTCATTGAGCAGTGGTTTGTAGTTCTTCTTGAAGAGGTCCTTCACATCCCTTGTAAGTTGGATTCCTAGGTATTTTATTCTCTTTGAAGCAATTGTGAATGGGAGTTCACTCATGATTTGGCTCTCTGTTTATCTGTTATTGGTGTATAAGAATGCTGGTGATTTTTGTACATTGATTTTGTATCCTGAGACTTTGCTGAAGTTGCTTATCAGCTTAAGGAGATTTTGGGCTGAGACAATGGGGTTTTCTAAATATACAATCATGTCGTCTGCAAACAGGGACAATTTGACTTCCTCTTTTCCTAATTGAATACCCTTTATTTCCTTCTCCTGCCTAATTGCCCTGGCCAGAACTTCCAACACTATGTTGAATAGGAGTGGTGAGAGAGGGCATCCCTGTCTTGTGCCAGTTTTCAAAGGGAATGCTTCCAGTTTTTGCCCATTCAGTATGATATTGGCTGTGGGTTTGTCATAGATAGCTCTTATTATTTTGAGATACGTCCCATCAATACCTAATTTATTGAGAGTTTTTAGCATGAATTGTTGTTGAATTTTGTCAAAGGCCTTTTCTGCATCTATTGAGATAATCATGTGGTTTTTGTCATTGGTTCTGTTTATGCTGGATTACATTTATTGATTTGTATATAGTGAACCAGCCTTGCATCCCAGGGATGAAGACCACTTGATAATGGTGGATAAGCTTTTTAATGTGCTGCTGGATTCGGTTTGCCAGTATCTTATTGAGGATTTTTGCATCAATGTTCATCAAGGATATTGGTCTAAAATTCTCTTTTTTTATTGTGTCTCTGTCCGGCTTTGGTATCAGCATGATGCTGGCCGCATCAAATGAGTTAGGGAGGATTCCCTCTTTTTCTATTGATTGGAATAGTTTCAGAAGGAATGGTACCAGTTCCTCTTTGTACCTCTTGTAGAATTCAGCTGTGAATCCATCTGGTCCTGGACTCTTTTTGGTTGGTAAGCTATTGATTATTGCCACATTTTCAGATCCTGTTATTGGTCTATTCAGAGAGTCAACTTCTTCCTGGTTTAGTCTTAGGAGAGTGTATGTGTCGAGGAATTTATCCATTTCTTCTAGATTTTCTAGTTTATTTGAGTAGAGGTGTTTATAGTATTCTCTGATGGTAATTTGTATTTCTGTGGGATTGGTGGTGATATCCCCTTTATCATTTTTTATTGCATCTATTTGATTCTTCTCTCTTTTTTTCTTTATTAGTCTTGCTAGCAGTCTATCAATTTTGTTGATCCTTTCAAAAAACCAGCTCCTGGATTCATTAATTTTTTGAAGGGTTTTTTGTGTCCCTATTTCCTTCAGTTCTGCTCTGATTTTAGTTATTTCTTGCCTTCTGCTAGCTTTTGAATGTGTTTGCTCTTACTTTTCTAGTTCTTTCAGTTGTGATGTTAAGGTGTCAATTTTGGATCTTTCCTGCTTTCTCTTGTGGGCATTTAGTGCTATAAATTTCCCTCTACACACTGCTTTGAATGTGTCCCAGAGATTCTGGTATGTTGTGTCTTTGTTCTCATTGGTTTCAAAGAAATCTTTATTTCTGCCTTCATTTCTTTATGTACCCAGTAATCATTCAGGAGCAGGTTGTTCAGTTTCCATGTAGTTGAGTGGTTTTGAGTGATATTCTTAATCTTGAGTTCTAGTTTGATTGCACTGTGGTCTGAGAGATAGTTTGTTATAATTTCTGTTCTTTTACATTTGCTGAGGAGAGCTTTACTTCCCAGTATGTGGTCAATTTTGGAATAGGTGTGGTGTGGTGCTGAAAAAAATGTATATTCTGTTGATTTGGGGTGGAGAGTTCTGTAGATGTCTATTAGGTCCGCTTGGTGCAGAGCTGAGTTCAATTCCTGGGTATCCTTGTTGACTTTCTGACTCGTTGATCTGTCTAATGTTGACAGTGGGGTGTTAAAGTCTCCCATTATTAATGTGTGGGAGTCTAAGTCTCTTTGTAGGTCACTCAGGACTTGCTTTATGAATCTGGGTGCTCCTGTATTGGGTGCATATATATTTAGGATAGTTAGCTCTTCTTGTTGAATTGATCCCTTTACCATTATGTAATGGCCTTCTTTGTCTCTTTTGATCTTTGTTGGTTTAAAGTCTGTTTTATCTGAGACTAGGATTGTAACCCCTGCCTTTTTTTGTTTTCCATTGGCTTGGTAGATCTTCCTCCATCCCTTTATTTTGAGCCTATGTGTGTCTCTGCACATGAGATGGGTTTCCTGAATACAGCACACTGATGGGTCTTGACTCTTTATCCAATTTGCCAGTCTGTGTCTTTTAATTGGAGCATTTAGTCCATTTACATTTAAAGTTAATATTGTTATGTGTGAATTTGATCCTGTCATTATGATGTTAGCTGGTGATTTTGCTCGTTAGTTGATGCAGTTTCTTCCTAGTCTCGATGGTCTTTACATTTTGGCATGATTTTGCAGCGGCTGGTACCGGTTGTTCCTTTCCATGTTTAGCACTTCCTTCAGGAGCTCTTTTAGGGCAGGTCTGGTGGTGATGAAATCTCTCAGCATTTGCTTGTCTGTAAAGGATTTTATTCCTCCTTCACTGATGAAGCTTAGTTTGGCTGGATTTGAAATTCTGGGTTGAATATTCTTTTCTTCGAGAATGTTGAATATTGGCCCCCACTCTCTTCTGGCTTGTAGAGTTTCTGCCAAAAGATCCGCTGTTAGTCTGATGGGCTTCCCTTTGAGGGTAACCCGACCTTTCTCTCTGGCTGCCCTTAACATTTTTTCCTTCATTTCAACTTTGGTGAATCTGACAATTATGTGTCTTGGAGTTGCTCTTCTCAAGGAGTATCTTTGTGGCATTCTCTGTATTTCCTGAATCTGAACGTTGGCCTGCCTTGCTAGATTGGGGAAGTTCTCCTGGATAATATCCTGCAGAGTGTTTTCCAACTTGGTTCCATTCTCCCCGTCACTTTCAGGTACACCAATCAGATGTAGATTTGGTCTTTTCACATAGTCCCATATTTCTTGGAGGCTTTGCTTGTTTCTTTTTATTCTTTTTTCCCTAAACTTCCCTTCTTGCTTCATTTCATTCATTTCATCTTCCATCACTGATACCCTTTCTTCCAGTTGATCACACCAGCTCCTGAGGCTTCTGCATTCTTCATGTAGTTCTTGAGCCTTGGTTTTCAGCTCCCTCAACTCCTTTAAGCACTTCTCTGTATTGGTTATTCTAGTTATACATTTTTCTAAATTTTTTTCAAAGTTTTCAACTTCTTTGCCTTTGGTTTGAATGTCCTCCTGTAGCTCGGAGTAATTTGATCGTCTGAAGCCTTCTTCTCTCAGCTCGTCAAAGTCATTCTCCGTCCAGCTTTGTTCTGTTGCTGGTGAGGAACTGTGTTCCTTTGGAGGAGGAGAGGTGCTCTGCTTTTTAGAGTTTCCAGTTTTTCTGCTCTGTTTTTTCCCTATCTTTGTGGTTTTATCTACTTTTGGTCTTTGATGATGGTGATGTACAGATGGGTTTTTGGTGTGGATGTCCTTTCTGTTTGTTAGTTTTCCTTCTAACAGACAGGACCCTCAGCTGCAGATCTGTTGGAGTACTGGGCCCTGTGAGGTGTCAGTCTGCCCCTGCTGTGGGGTGCCTCCCAGTTAGGCTGCTTGGGGGTCAGGGGTCAGGGACCCACGTGAGGAGGCAGTCTGTCCATTCTGAGATCTCCAGCTGCGTGCTGGGAGAACCACTGCTCTCTTCAAAGCTGTCAGACAGGGACATTTAAGTCTGCAGAGGTTAATGCTGTCTTTTTGTTTGTCTGTGCCCTGCCCCCAGACGTGGAGCCTACAGAGGCAGGCAGGCCTCCTTGAGCTGTGGTGGGCTCCACCCAGTTCGCGCTTCCAGGCTGCTTTGTTTACCTAAGCAAGCCTGGGCAATGGTGGGCGCCCCTCCCCCAGCCTCGCTGCCGCCTTGCAGTTTGATCTCAGACTGCTGTGCTAGCAATCAGCGAGACTCTGTGGGCGTAGGACCCTGCGAGCCAGGTGCCGGATGTAATCTCGTGGTGTGCTGTTTTTTAAGCCCGTCGGAAAAGCACAGTATTTGGGTGGGAGTGACCCGATTTTCCAGGTGCTGCCTGTCACCCCTTTCTTTGACTAGGAAAGGGAACTCCCTGACCCCTTGCACTTCCCGAGTGAGGCAATGCCTTGCCCTGCTTTGGCTCGCGCAAGGTGTGCGCACCCACTGACCTGCGCCTACTGTCTGGCACTCCCTAGTGAGATGAACCCGGTATCTCAGATGGAAATGCAGAAATCACCCGTCTTCTGCGTCGCTCACACTGGGAGCTGTAGACCGGAGCTGTTCCTATTTGGCCATCTTGGATCCTCCCCCCTTTAACAGTCTTAAAGAAAAGAATTTTCAATCCAGAATTTCATATCCAGCCAAACTAAGCTTCATAAGTGAAGGAGAAGTAAAATCCTTTACAGACAAGCAAATACTGAGAGATTTTGTCACCACCAGGCCTGACCTACAAGAGCTCCTGAAGGAAGCACTAAACATGGAAAGGAACAACCGGTACCAGCCACTGCAAAAACATGCCAAATTGTAAAGACCATCAATGCTAGGAAGAAACTGCATCAATGAACGAGCAAAGTAACCAGCTAACATCATAATGACAGGATCAAATTCACGCATAACAATATTAACCTTAAATGTAAATGGGCCAAGTGCTCCAATTAAAGGACACAGGCTGCCAAATTGGATAAAGAGTCAAGACCCATCAGTGTGCTCTATTCAGGAGACCCATCTAACGTGCAGAGACACACATAGGCTCAAAATAAAGGGATGGAGGAAGATCTACCAAGCAAATGGAAAATAAAAAAAGGCAGGGGTTGCAATCCTAGTCTTGGATAAAACAGACTTTAAACCAACAAAGATCAAAAGAGACAAAGAAGGCCATTACATAATGGTAAAGGGATCAATTCAACAAGAAGAGCTAACTATCCTAAATATATATGCATCTAATACAGGAGCACCCAGATTCATAAAGCAAGTCC
The DNA here is from genome assembly GCF_000001405.40 of Homo sapiens. Classification (NCBI taxonomy): domain Eukaryota; kingdom Metazoa; phylum Chordata; class Mammalia; order Primates; family Hominidae; genus Homo; species Homo sapiens. The sequence continues at coordinate 41,548 of NW_003315939.2, read as the reverse complement.
TTAGAGACCTACAAAGAGACTTAGACTCCTACATAATAATAATGGGAGACTTTAACACCCCACTGTCAACATTAGACAGATCCACGAGACAGAAAGTTAGCAAGGATATCCAGGAATTGAACTCACCTCTGCACCAAGCGGACCTAATAGACATCTACTGAACTCTCCACCCTCAATCAATAGAATATGTATTCTTCTCCACACCACATCACACTTATTCCAAAAATTGACCACATAGTTGGAAGTAAAGCACTCCTCACCAAATGTAAAAGAACAGAAATTATAACAAACTGTCTCTCAGACCACAGTGCAATCAAACTAGGACTCAGGATTAAGAAACTCACTCAAAACCACTCAACTACATGGAGACTGAACAACCCGCTCCTGAATCACTACTGGGTACATAACGAAATGAAGGCAGAAAGAAAGATTTTCTTTGAAACCAATGAGAACAAAGGCACAACATACCAGCATCTCCGAGATACATTTAAAGCAGTGTATAGAGGGAAATTTATAGCACAAAATTCCCACAAGAGAAAGCAGGAGAGATCTAAAATTGACACCCTGACATCACAATTAAAAGAACTAGAGAAGCAAGAACAAACACATTCAAAAGCTAGCAGAAGGCAAGAAATAACTAAAATCAGAGCAGAACTGAAGGAGATAGAGACACAAAAAACCCTTCAAAAAGTCAATGAATCCAGGAGCTGGTTTTTTGAAAGGATCAACAAAATTGATAGACCGCTAGCAAGACTAATAAAGAAGAAAAGAGAGAAGAATCAAATAGATGCAATAAAAAATGATAAAGGGGATATCACCACCAATCCCACAGAAATACAGACTACCATCAGAGAATACTATAAACACCTCTACGCAAATAAACTAGAAAATCTAGAAGAAATGGATAAATTCCTGGACACATACACCCTCCCAAGACTAATCCAGGAAGAAGTTGAATCCCTGAATATACCAATAACAGGCTCTGAAATTGAGGCAATAATTAATAGCTTACCAACCAAAAAAAGTCCAGGACCAGATGGATTCACAGCCGAATTCTACCAGAGGTACAAGGAGGAGCTGGTACCATTCCTTCTGAAACTATTCCAGTCAATAGAAAAAGAGGGAATCCTCCCTAACTCATTTGATGAGGCCAGCATCATCCTGATACCAAAGCCGGGCAGAGACAAAACAAAAAAAGAGAATTTTAGACCAATATCCCTGATGAACATTGATGCAAATATCCTCAATAACATACTGGCAAACGAAATCCAGCAGCACATCAAAAAGCTTATCCACTATGATCAAGTGGGCTTCATCCCTGGGATGCAAGGCTGGTTCAACATATGCAAATCAATAAACGTAATCCAGCATATAAACAGAACCAATGACAAAAACCATATGATAATCTCAATAGATGCAGAAAAGGCCTTTGACAAAATTCAACAGCCCTTCATGGTAAAAACTCTCAATAAATTGGGTATTGATGGGACGTATCTCAAAATAATAAGAGCTATTTATGACAAACCCACAGCTAATATCATACTGAATGGGCAAAAAGTGGAAGCATTCCATTTGAAAACTGGCACAAGACAGGGATGCCCTCTCTCACCACTCCTATTCAACATAGTGTTGGAAGTTCTGGTCAGGGCAATCAGGCAGGAGAAAGAAATAAAGGGTATTCAGTTAGGAAATGAGGAAGTCAAATTGTCCCTGTTTGCAGATGACATGATTGTATATTTAGAAAACCCCATCGTCTCAGCCCAAAATCTCCTTGAGCTGATAAGGAACTTGAGCAAAATCTGAGGATACAAAATCAATGTGTAAAAATCACAAGCATTCTTATACACCAATAACAGATAAACAGAGAGCCAAATCATGAGTGAATTCCCATTCACAATTGCTTGAAAGAGAATAAAATACCTAGGAATCCAACTTACAAGGGATGTGAAGGACCTCTTCAAGGAGAACTACAAACCACTGCTCAATGAAATAAAAGAGGACACAAACAAATGGAAGAACATTCCATGCTCATGGATAGGAAGAATCAATATCGTGAAAATGGCCATACTGCCCAAGGTAATTTACAGATTCAATGCCATCCCCATCAAGCTACCAATGACTTTCTTCACAGAATTGGAAAAAACTACTTTAAAGTTCATATGGAACCAAAAAAGTGTCCCCATTGCCAAGTCAATCCTAAGCCGAAAGAACAAAGCTGGAGGCATCACACTACCTGACTTCAAACTATACTACAAGGCTACAGTAACCAAAACAGCATGGTACTGGTACCAAAACAGAGATATAGACTAATGGAACAGAACAGAGCCCTCAGAAATAGTACCACACATCTACAACCATCTGATCTTTGACAAACCTGAGAAAAACAAGCAATGGGGAAAGGATTCCCTATTTAATAAATGGTGCTGGGAAAACTGGCTAGCCATATGTAGAAAGCTGAAACTGGATCCCTTCCTTACACCTTATACAAAAATTAATTCAAGATGGATGAAAGACTTAAATGTTAGACCTAAAACCATAAAAACCCTAGAAGAAAACCTAGGCAATACCATTCATGACATAGGCATGGGCAAGGACTTCATGTCTAAAACACCAAAAGCAATGGCAACAAAAGCCATAATTGACAAATGAGATTTAATTAAACTAAAGAGCTTCTGCACAGCAAAAGAAACTACCATCAGAGTGAACAGGCAACCTACAGAATGGGAGAAAATTTTTGCAATCTACTCATCTGACAAAGGGCTAATATCCAGAATCTACAAAGTACTCAAACAAACTTACAAGAAGAAAACAAACAACCCCATCAAAAAGTGGGTGAAGGATATGAACAGACACTTCTCAAAAGAAGACATTTATGCGGCCAACAGACACATGTAAAAATGCTCATCATCACTGGCCATCAGAGAAATGCAAATCAAAACCACAATGAGATACCATCTCACACCAGTTAGAATGGCAATCATTAAAAAGTCAGGAAACAACAGGTGCTGGAGAGGATGTGGAGAAATAGGAACACTTTTACACTGTTAGTGGGACTGTAAAGTAGTCCAACCATTGTGGAAGACAGTGTGGTGATTCCTCAAGGATCTAGAACTAGAAATACCATTTGACCCAGCCATCCCATTACTGGGTATGTACCCAAAGGATTATAAATCATGCTGCTATAAGGACACACGCACACGTATGTTCATTGCGGCACTATTCACAATAGTAAAGACTTGGAACCAACCCAAATGTCCATCAATGATAGACTGGATTAAGAAAATGTGGCACATATACACCATGGAATAGTATGCAGCTATAAAACAGGATGAGTTCATGTCCTTTGTAGGGACATGGATGAAGCTGGAAACCTTCATTCTTGGCAAAGTATCGCAAGGACAAAAACCCAAACACGCGTGTTCTCACTCATAGGTGGGAATTGAACAATGAGAACACTTGGACACAGAAGGGGAACATCACACACCGGGGCCTGTTGTGGGGTGGGGGTGGGGGGAGGGATAGCATTAGGGGATATACCTAATGTAAATGATGAGTTAATGGGTGCAGCACACCAACATGGCACATGTATGCATATGTAACAAAGCTGCATGTTGTGCACATGTACCCTAGAGCTTAAAATATAATAAAAAAAAAAAGAAGAAGAAGGAAGTCCTGCAAAGGGCCCAAATTTCCCTTCAGAATCTCCACCACGGTACTCATCTATATTTTCAGTCCTTAATTAAATCTGGTTTCTGCTGTGCTTTTCATTCACCATTTAGTAAAAATGAAAACCTTTCTTAATAAATTTCAGAGATGGGAGATTAAATTACTTACATAAATGCTAATATGGCAATGGAATTTTTTACTAAATTTTTTCTTGTAAATACGTGATATGGCATCAATATAAATGAGTATGAATGAGTTTATTGGGCTAACCTGGGTACCTATCTGCATTTATAATACCATTTTTATGAGCAAATGCATTGTATCTTCCAGCAAACAGACTTGCAAGCTGATTTCTGGAAATCTAGTTTTCGAAAGTTGAACACTGTGTAATTCAATAAAAATATTCTAATGAGGGCCGGGCGCGGTGGCTCACGCCTGTAATCCCAGCACTTTGGGAGGCCGAGGCGGGCGGATCACGAGGTCAGGAGATCGAGACCATCCCGGCTAAAACGGTGAAACCCCGTCTCTACTAAAAATACAAAAAATTAGCCGGGCGTAGTGGCGGGCGCCTGTAGTCCCAGCTACTTGGGAGGCTGAGGCAGGAGAATGGCGTGAACCCGGGAGGCGGAGCTTGCAGTGAGCCGAGATCCCGCCACTGCACTCCAGCCTGGGCGACAGAGCGAGACTCCGTCTCAAAAAAAAAAAAAAAAAAAATATTCTAATGAGAATAAAAGCTAGACAGAGGCATAATAATGCTTTTCCTAATTTTTCTACCTTTCTTTTAGTTACCTTTTTAGTTACATGAATAGTCTACAGCAAAATAGCTAAGTGAGGTTAAAGTAGAAGTTAGCTGGTCATTCCGGCATAAGTGAAAATGTAGAACTTAGAGTGTACCTTTGCTTAAAGTCAGTTTTCTTTCAGGAATTCATTTTAATATTGTGATAGTAGAGACCATGCGAAAAAATATGAAAAAACTCAAACAAGAAAATAATCTTTAAAGAAAATTTGAGAACCTTCATTTCCAAACTTTTATAAGTAGTTTTTACCAAAGACATGCTCATTAAGCTTTGCCAGGCCACTGTCAGTAGTGGATACATGATTAAATCCACCACATGGCATTTCTTACGCTACATGAGTTATGGGATGCAGAATGACAGAATTTATGCAACCTTATGAAACATGCCAGCACAATGTAGCACTTAAGCTAAGATATTTTAATGACCCAATTTGTTCAGACTGCTTGAGGATAAAAAGTGATTTCACAGGATTTGCTACTATTAATCACAGCAGCTTCTAGTATTTAGTACATAGTGGGCAGGTGTTTTCAGGATTATACTAATAACAAGAAAAATAACAATGTTTTTTAATAGTCAAATTATAATGAGAGACAATTAATGTAACATTTTAAATTAGTATAAAAGGGCAGGGTTAGCATAGTATAAAGTATATAGTTAGTGTATTAAATGCAGATGAAATAATCTTAATTCATTTAGCAATTACTCATTGTGCTTGCAATAAGTAACATATTCAGACGGAACTTAACTGGAAGAAAATAAAAGGCATTGTTGCTTAACTCCTGGTGTCTAGGAAGGAGGGAGAATACACTATATTTTAAGAGACCTCTGAAAAAAGTTCATTTACAAAAATGCCAGGACTCAGGTTTATTATTATTCTCCTGGGGCACACACTTTGAAATGATATTTTCACACAAGGTAGAATCTGAAATTTGAATCCTGTCAGAGCCACAAAATGCGGAAAGTCCAGTTCTCACAGGGAATAACATTTAAATATTAAATGTCTATGTCCAAGGCAGAGATGACAAGAATAAAAATGACTCAATTTCAAGTAAAATCTCTGTCCTCTTTGTTTTTTAAACTGGGTCAAATTGGCATTTTTTGTTCAGTTTGGCCTGAAAGAATACAAAATAAATATGATAAGAGTTTGCAACTGTAATGTTTACATAGTTAAAAAGATTCTCAATTTCACTGAAGGCTCTCCTTTGCATGGAAGCTTAGGATTGTTATTTATAGGCTGTGAAACCAAAATGAATGGTCCATCAAAGTGGAAGCTTAGTGCAGTGGAAAAAACCAAAGATTTGATTGACTGAATTTTTCACTTTGCAACAAATTGTTTTGGTGTCAGAGAGGTCTTATAGTCATTGCTGTTTCGTTCTTCCCTTCATTTTTAGGATTGATGTCTTACACACGTCAGTCACTGGATATCCTGAAGAGCTTCAGCCTTATGGGTCTACTGTTTCCTTAAATATTTAAATAAAAATAGCCAGAGTCCCCACATCCTTTGTGTTAAGAGTATTTGAGGAGCACACAATAAACAGCCTCTTTTTTTTTAACTCAAGTTCTAAATTAGTGGAGAAAAAAATGCAAGTGATTGTATATCAAGTGTACATTCAAATGATTGCTGACAGAGGCCAAAATGTCACCCAGAAAGAGGCCCAGGTTGCTGTGCAAAGTGCTCTGCTATATTACCTAGCCCATCCAATGGTGCTCGAAGTGTCTGAATAGATTGGGATGTGTGTGGAGACTGTGGCAGGCTGCTCCAGGTGAATTACAGTGCCTGTCTTTAGAATTTTGGAGCAAAGCTCTACCATCCTTTTTAGATGGCTATTCTTTGAGAAACTGCTTATGGATTGCTCCTTGGCCTTGGCAGAGACTCAACACTTGGTCATGGGCCACCCAATGAACAGGAGCTGTGGACAATAAACTGGGTGTTTTTGGCCCTCTCAAAAAAATAAAAATGTTGTGTATGCAGTACAGCTTAAGTAGATCCTGAAGGCATGAGTAAGTTGCTTGGCAAGTTGCCCAGATGCCCCTCCTCATGTTATGTTGCCTCCTCTCTCTCAACCCACATAGCCCTCCAAATCTGAGGGTTCTGCATTATAGAGTCAACCAACTGAGGATTAAAAACTATTTTGAAAAAAAAAAGCAATACAATAATAAAAGTCATACTAAGAAAGAAATAACAACTATTTACACAGCATTTACATTGTATTAGTTATAAGTAATCTGGAGATGATTTAAAGTATACAGGAGGATGTGCAAAAGTTGCATGCAAATACTATTCTATTTTATATAAGGGACTACCACATCTGTGGATTTTGGTATTTGAAGGGCTCCTAGAACCAATCCCCCATGGATATCTAAAGACAAATATATATGGCTTTTAGGGGGTTGCCTATGGCAAATATTGACTGAGGAAGAAAACAATTCAGGCCTGGTTTATAGATTGGTATGCTATGCTGGCACATCCTAAAAATGGATAGCTCAGCACTACTGCCCCACTCTGGGGTGGCTTTGAACTATGGTAGTGAAGGGAGCTCCTATTGTTGGACAGTACTTCAAGGAGTACACCTACTTATTAATTTTTCCTGGAAGAGGAGATGGCCCCAGGTACAGCCTTATACTGGCAGGCAGTGGCTAATGGTTTGACTAGATGGTTCATGTTATGGACTGACTGTTTGCATCCCCCCAAGAAAGAACACAACTAGACAATTGGTGACAAGGAGGTGTGTTGATAGATCTTTCTGAATGGGCATAGAGAGTGAAGACCTTTGTTCCATGTGATTGCTCGTCAAAGAGCAACCTCAGTAAAAGAGGATTTTAATAATCAGATGAACAAGATGCGCTGCTCTGTGGACATCAAGCAGGCTTTCTCTGCAGCCATTCCATCCATGCCCAATGGACTCATGAACAAAGTGGCCATGGCAGCAGGGGTAGAAGTTTCATATGGACTCAGCAACATGGACTTCCACTCACTATGGCTGATCTGTCTATAGTCACTGTTGAATGTCCAATCTGCCAACAGCAGAGTACAACTTTGAGCCCCTGACATGGTACCATTCCCCAGCAGGCTGAAATACCTGCTGGTAGGTTGGTTGCAATGGACCACATCCATCTTAGAAGAGGCAGTGCTTTGTTCTCACTGAAAGAGACATTTACTCTAAATATGGATTTGTTTTCCTTGCCCTCAAGGCTTTTGTCAAAATCACCATCTGTGGACTTACATAGTATGATTCACATCAAGGTATTCTTATAACACTGCTTCTGACCAAGGAACTTACTTAACAGCAATTGTGGACTCATGCTGATGGAATCTACTGATATTACCATGTTCCCTGTTACCATGAAGTAGCTGGTCTGATAGAATGCTGAAATAGCCTTTCAAAAATTTAGTTTCCATACTGGCTGGGAAGGAACATCTCACAGGTTTGAGGTAAAGTCTTCAGGATGTGGCAAATACTGTAAATCAGTGACCAATATACAATGCTCTCTTTCACAGAGGTAGGATCCATGGATTCAGCAAAGCTGTGTGAGATGGGAGTTATTCCTTTCACTATTACCCACAGTGAGCCACTATGTGTGGAAGTTCAGTGTGGGGTACTAGGCACTCTTGAAGTTCATGCCTGTTGTCCCTGATCTGTTGCTCATCCTGTTAGCACAAGGCAGCAGCCAAGCCCACAGCTCCCCAGCCCCTGCTGGATCATCTCCTTTAGCTTCTCCAGATCCTAAGCTGGGTGTGTGGATGGCTCTGTGGTGAAGTGTTCCAGCTCCTTCTGTGCCATTGAGGCTGGAGATAGAGAGAGGGAGATGAGGGTTCCAGCTGGTCTTTGTAGGTTCCAGTTTGTCCTTGTCCTGCCTTTTAAATGTCCAGCTGTTCTTACCAACTGCTGGTACTGAGAAACTCTACAGAGCCTGCAGGGCTATAACAGACAAGGACTGACAGCCTCCCATAGGGTTCCTCAACAGCTCCTACAATTACATAAGGTGGAGTTCCTATAGCAAATCCCATATAGTGGCTCTGCTTGTCTGACAAAGCCTAAATGACACAGCATCTGTCCACTAACTCTGAAGATTCTCGGGGAGGACTTCGTCCTCTTCGTCGTTTATTGGCCTAATTTTCTGCTCCTCAGAGTTTTCAAATTTACTGTCACCTTGACTCTTGTGTCTGTTCCCCTTTCTATGCCCCAAGTCAACCAAAATGTGGAACACAATGCCTTTTCCTTAGTTTACCTCAAATACCACTCATAAAAGCAAGGAATTTCACAGAGGTTCTGTGGTAAAAATGGGAGTTGCATTAGAGCAAAATACCTATAGCAGAAGATTACTTAAAATTGAGTATTAGTTGCCCCATTTTGAAAAGTCCAGTTCCTTGGCCTCCTGCCAACTATCAGTTTTCTTTCTCTTCTCTCATCTGTCTCCCTAATCTGTCCTTCTGCATCTTTCTGGCAACTCAAAACTCCTTTCATTAAAAAAAAAAAAAGTAGAATAATTCAGGTCTCTCATTTTCTTCTTCTTGATCATTGATATGGTTTGGCTGTGTTCCCACCAAAATCTCATCTTGAATTCCCACATGTTGTGGGAGGGGCCTAGAGGGAGCTAATTGAATCATAGGGGCAAATCTTTCCCATACTGTTGTCGTGATAGTAAGTCTCACGAGAACTGATGGTTTTAAAAAGAGGAGTTCCTCTGCACAAGCTCTGTCTTTCTTTGCCTGCTGCCATCCATGTAAAAGATGACTTGCTCCTCCTTGCCTTCCACCATGATTGTGAGGCTTCCTCAGCCGCGTGGAACTGTAAATCCAATTAAACCTCTTTCTTTTGTAATTTGCCCAGTCTTGGGTATGTCTTTATCAGCAGTGTGAAAACAGACTAGTACAATCATGTTATTGCATGCTTTCATTTTTATAACCAAAGGCCATCAAAGAAAAGACATCTTTCTCTTGAAGAGGAAGTTTACTGCCAGTTGTAAAACATAGGCCTTTCCCTCCCCTCTGTATCTTGAACTATCTTGCAGTAGATCTCAGTGGAGAGGGATGCCATATTCTATACCATCCTGTCACAGATTTACTCAAAATCAATTTTATAAAACCAAAACCTTAAAAGAAAGATTGGCAAAACAATTGTATTAGGATAAGTAGGTCCTGCTAAGAAACAGCTTTGAGAAAGTTTTGAATTACAGGCAGTTTGTAACAGCTGTGGATTGCAACATTTTCCCTGGTGAGTTGTTTAGAGTGTCATTGTGTATAAATTTCAAGCTATACTTCTAGAAGCTTTCATTTAGAAAGTTGATCTTTTACTTCTTTAAGGGTATAAAAGGAAATTGCAGGGTGTGCCTTGGTATGTGAACTATGGGCAAATTGCAGCATGTCAGTCTCTCCTTTGGAGACATGTATGTTTGCCAGTTTTAAAAATACAATTTAAGGAAGCAACAGAATTGTAGTGAGATGGATATTTAAATTCAGAGATGGGAGAAAATACAGAAGGAAATGGAGGAAGGTAGGAGAGTTATTTTTAAAAAATGTATCAAGACATGAATACAAGCACTTAATCTTAACAAAAGGACTAGTTGTAGCCATGCTGAATTAATCATTCTAATTAGATTTCCAAGATATTTGAAAAAAGACTCTCCATATTGAGAGACTGATAGTTTTTCATTGACACTTTGCTATTTTTGTATTACTGGTCCAGAGCCTCATAAGTTTAGAATTTTTAAGTCAATAAATTAGAATAACAAGTGAAAGAGAAAATTACTTCTTTTTGACTAGAGAGATTCTAATCGCAGGTTTTTATGTTCTCAGTGTATGGATGTCTTATCTATCTACTTTTTTTTTTCTTTTCTCTCTCTCTCCCCCTCTCTCTTTTTCTTTTTTTCTATGTGCAAGATAGGAAGAAGTGTTTTGAGGGAGAGCACACTTGTGGGAAATGCCTTCAGCAGCAGCTATGCAAGAGAACAGATGAGAGAAGGTCTTGTAGGTTTGGTATCCACAGTGCTTTTGCCAACCAGTTGACTTGATGTTTCCAGTGATATGGCCAGAGCACCAGGATTCAGGGTATGACCCAACCACTATCAGATTCTACTTCTGGAGTTCATTTCCTTGGACATTGCTCAGGAGCAGTAGTTTCTTAACCTTTTTGGTTCATGGAGGTGTATGAGGTCATAGACCCTTTCCAGAGAAAAATGCACATATGTATACAGAAAAATTTGCCAACAATATTAGAAGATTATAGGCCCCATGAAACCTACCCGAGGACTATAGGCTATAACTCCCATTCTAAATCACTGTCTTTTGGAGGATTGTAAAGGCCCTTCTATTCCACATTGAGGTTCCTTTTCAGATCTAAGCCTGAGTGTCACTCAATTCTTCTGTGACTTAGCAGAGGATGATATAGATTCTTATACCTCACAGTTGTTTAACACAAGGCTAGATAAATTCTAAAGTGAGGACAGCCACAGAGACGCCACATTTGTGTCTTATTTACTGTTATATTCCAGGAACATAGTGGGTACTCAAGAAGTAATTGTTGAAACTTTTGCCTTAGAGTATAATGTGGTGGTAAAGTGAGGTGAGAAATTAAAGTGGACTTTGCGTACTCTTGGAGCAAGAGGAGTGCTCAAATGATAGGTAGGATGTGCAACTGGATCTCCAATGAACCAATTAACTAAGGACTCCTTGCCTTCCTTTAGTATTGCTGGCCACAAGAGGAAACTTGGGGCTGCATAAAAATTTGAGCTGTGGGTAAGGCTGCTGGAGGACCTGCCTGCCAAAGAGAATTCTGCATTTGTCTTCTTTGTTTCCTCTTGCCTAAGGAAGAAGAATCCTTACCCCCGAGAGGAGAGCAGATTGCTGGAGGTGGAAGAAAGAGAAAAACCACAGGATTAGTGGATTAAGAGAAGTTTTTGGAGAGAGACACTCTGGAGAACACACACTTGCAAATATGCATTTCAGATGATTTCTTCAGGATTGATTTCCCAGGGTGAAATTACCTGGTCAAATGGGGTAGACGTTTTTAAGACTTGATGACAAAGTGCTTTTGAGAGAAGCCAATCATTTAACCCCCTCTATTTTCCATTCCTGAAACATAAGAAGGTGCTCATATGTTGTCAGTATTTTTTACATTTTATAACCGAGGAAACAACATTTTGGAGAATGTAAATACTTGCACAAGCTGGTAAATACTCTATTTGTTCAATTCCAAATGACATGTTTTCCCTTACACAGCACCATGGTTCAGTGTTGAGATCCACAGAAAACGTGACAAGGTTGGCCTTTGACTCAGGCCTAGCAGCCCTGAGAATAGGGATGGGGACTGAGAGAGAGAGACAGCACGAGCTAGAGAGAGCTGTGGATCCAGGCTTCAGGGATGCAATGAAGCCTGCAAACACCTTTCTCTCACAAGGCTCGAGAACATCCAGTCACCTCCCTGACCACACTTCTCAGATCTGCTTTCATCTGACTTTCACGTTCTCAAGGTTAACCTTGTCAGGCTTGATGATCAACAAGGTTGCAATGAGTATTCATAGAAATTGGTACAGAAGTTAATGTCCAGATCCACATGAAACGCAGGCAGAAATGAAGACAGTGACACTTACCAATCTTGACAGAAGGGACAAAAGCTTAAACTCTACAAGGAAACATTTGTAACCCTCATCAGCATGGTGCTGCATATTGTAGACAATACATGCACTTTAAAAACCACAGGATCTAAGCATTATGGAAATGACAATGACAACTTAAGGAGAGCTGTTGTCACTGGGGAAGGATGCTTAGAAATACGCACTGCTTTTCAACATCATTAGGACATCTCAAAGTCCTTGGTTTTAGGTAATTTCTTTTGTAAGTTTATAAGGTATAGCTCTCAAATTGTTTCCAAGTCTTATTAGTTCCCGGATATTTATGACTAATTATTCATTAAGTGGAAAAACGAAAGGAGGGGAGGGAAGAAAAATGAGTTTCCAGTTTTTACAAATATTGTTTCCTTTTTTGTTCTGATTCCTGAAAATAATAATATGGGATACATTCATACAGTCCAGGGGATGATCTCTATTGAAGCCACAGAGAAGAATAGATAAGCACACAGTATACAAAGTGAACAAATTCCCCTTAATGAATATTCAAAGCCTGTCCACCAAAAATTCCCAGTTTTCTGGTTTCAGTAGGTTTTGGAGGTTTGATTTTGTAGGTCAGACCTGGTAGGTAGGGCAGGGACTGAGTTATCTGTGCTTTTGTTTTTCACTAGTGTGGGCCTGCCTTATCAATGCATCCCTAGAGCCAATTAAGGACAAGATGAATTTTTGGGGCCTCTCCAGTCACCTTTCTTAAGCATCCACAAAAAAGGTAACTTCTAGTGCCTTTACCTGATCTTGCTTGAAAACAGTCAGGAGAATGCTATGGTCTGAATGTATATGTCCACCCAAAATTCATAAGTTGAAAACCTAATCACCAATGTGATGGTATTAGGTGGGGTCTTTGGGAGATGATTTGGTCATGAAGTTGAAGCCCTCATGAATGGCATTAGTGCCTTTATAAAAGAGGCCCCAAATACCTGTCTTGCCCCTTTCTACCATGTCAGTTTACAGCAAGAAGACAGCCCTCACCAGACACTTAATCTGCTAGTGCCTTGATTTTGGACTTCCCAGCCTTCAGAACTATGAGAAGTAAACGTTGTTTATAAGCTATCCAGTCTGTGGTATTTTGTGATAGTAATCTACATGGACTAAGACAGAGGCTGTTACCAAAATTATAGGAAATATATTTAGAAAAGAAATTATTTTAAAATGCCAGATATTTATTCATATGGAGAAAAGACTCTTCTCTTAGAGAAGTATTATGGCCCACAAAAGCTGTACTTATTCATATATACGATTTTTCATTTAATGTTGACAGCAACTCTACGAGATAGACATTATTATTATCTCTGTTTTATGGGTGAGGAAACTGTGGCTTGGAGGGGTTTAGGTGACTTGCTCCTGGCTACACACCTAGTGAGCAATGAAGAGAGGAGGACTCACACATAGATATTCTGAGATGAAATTGTTTGCTCTTTGTGTTACTTCATGTTCCTTTGGTTTAAGCCAGGGTGTATTATTGAAGTAATCATGGTTATACTTATCTTTCATCATTAGTATCCCTCATCATCCGTGAAGTGGCTTTCATCTTGTAGGTCAAATATTGGGAGGTATTTCCAGTTAAAAATTAAAAAGTCAAGAAGTCTAAAAGTACAACTCTGAGCTTTGGCCGTTTGGATGTGAAAACAGCCCAGTCTCATCAAAATTAAATGAGAAAAAAGTGAGCAATGTATCAAGTAGGAATGCATTTGGCTGTAAGTAATAGAAAAATAGAACAATCTGGTCAGAGTAGCTTAACCAAATAAGAATATATTATTTTTTTCATAACAAGAAGTTTAGAGGTGGGCAGTCCATGGTAGGGAATAGCCCCACATGCATCAGAGTCCGTGCTACTCAAATCCTTCCACTCCGCCATCCTTAGCATGGGACTTCTGCCTTCAGGTTTGCTGCCTAATGATTGTAAATTGGGTTTTCCATCTTTAGCTCCATATCCACATTCCATACTGGTAGAATATGGGCCCAATCTGTTTGCCTTTGAGTCTTTCTTCTTGTTTGGAAAGGGATGTTCTCTCTGAAGACTTCCTTGTGTCAATTGGCCAGGGCTGGCTCTCAGGACCACCCTAACTACAAGGGAGTGTAGGAAGGTGAATATTTTCAGCTCGGCCCAATTTCATACTGGAAAAAACATGGATTATGTTAGAAAGAAAAAATAAAAGAATGAATGTAAAGTGAATTTTTTGGAGGGATTGGGAGTGAGAGTTGTGAATGGATAGTAATGATTAAAAATCATTTAAACCAAATGCTCAGTTGAGATAGGCTTCTGAGGAGGAAACTAGAACCTTGTACTTGGGTGTGTTCTAATGAATGAGGAACTAGTTGGGACAGCCTAGGCAGGTAACTGCATTGAAGAGCAGGCAGAGCTAAGTGGCTGAAATGGTGGTGAGAGATAATGACAGTGAGGTGGAGCTCAGTTACAAAATGGCCAGAAAAGATTAGGATAGAGAGAAGATGCCAAAATTTATGGGGTCATACTTTTTAAAAAAATTATACTTTAAGTTCTGGGATACATGTGCAGAACGTGCAGATTTGTTACATAGGTATACACGTGTCATGGTGGTTTGCTGCACCCATCAACCCATCATCTACATTAGGTATTTCTCCTAATGCTATCCCTCCCTTAGCCCCCCACCCCCCAACAGGCCCCGGTGTGTGATGTTTCCCTCCCTGTGTCCATGTATTCTCATTGTTCAACTCCCACTTATGAGTGAGAACATGCAGTGTTTAGTTATCTGTTCTTGTGTTAGTTTGCTGAGAATGATGGTTTTCAGCTTCATCCATGTCCCTGCAAAGGACATGAACTCATCCTTTTTATGGCTGCATAGTATTCCATGGTGTATATGTCTCACCTTGTCTTTTTTTTTTGTTTTGTTTTCTTTATTATTATTATTATTATACTTTAAGTTTTAGGGTACATGTGCACAATGTGCAGGTTATTTACATATGTATACATGTGCCATGCTGGTGCGCTGCACCCACTAACTCATCATCTAGCATTAGCTATATCTCCCAATGCTATCCCTCCCCCCTCCCCCCAACCCACAACAGTCCCCAGAGTGTGATGTTCCCCTTCCTGTGTCCATGTGTTCTCATTGTTCAATTCCCACCTATGAGTGAGAATATGCGGTGTTTGGTTTTTTGTTCTTGAGATAGTTTACTGAGAATGATGATTTCCAATTTCATCCATGTCCCTACAAAGGACATGAACTCATCATTTTTTATGGCTGCATAGTATTCCATGGTGTATATGTGCCACATTTTCTTAATCCAGTCTATCATTGTTGGACATTTGGGTTGGTTCCAAGTCTTTGTTATTGTGAATAATGCCGCAATAAACATACGTGTGCATGTGTCTTTATAGCAGCATGATTTATAGTCCTTTGGGCATATACCCAGTAATGGGATGGCTGGGTCAAATCCTTTTCTTTATGCAGTCTATCATTGATGGGCATTTGGGTTGGTTCCAAGTCTTTGCTATTGTGAACAGTGCTGCTATAAACATATGTGTGCCTGTGTCTTTATAGTAGCATGATTTATAATCCTTTGGGTATATACCCAGTAATGGGATTGCTGGGTCAAATGGTATTTCTGGTTCTAGATCCCTGAGGAATCGCCACACTGACTTCCACAAGGGTTGAACTGATTTACACTCTCACCAACAGTGTAAAAGTGTTCCTATTTCTCCATATCCTCTCCAGCATCTGTTGTTTCCTGACTTTTTAATGATTGCCATTCTAACTGGCATGAGATGGTATCTCATTGTAGTTTTGATTTGCATTTCTCTAATGACCAGTGATGATGAGCTTTTTTTCATATGTTTTTTGGCTGCATAAATGCCTTCTTTTGAGAAGTGTCTGTTCATATCCTTTGCCCACTTTCTGATGGGGTTGTTCTTTTCTTGTATATTTGTTTAAGTTCTTTGTAGATTCTGGATATTAGCCCTTTGTCAGATGGGTAGATTGCAAAAATTTTCTCCCATTCTGTAGGTTGCCTGTTCACTCTGATGATAGTTTCTTTTGCTGTACAAGAGCTCTTTAGTTTAATTAGATCCCATTTGTCAATGTTGGTTTTTGTTGTAATTGCTTTTGGTGTTTTAGTCATGAAGTCTTTGCCCATGCCTATGTCCTGAATGGTATTGCCTAGGTTTTCTTCTAGGTTTTTATTGTTTTAAGTCTTACGTTTAAATCTTTAATTAAAGATTTTAATTTTAATTAAAAAATTAAATCTGTGAGTTAATTTTTGTATAAGGTGTAAGGAAGGGGTCCAGTTTCAATTTTCTGCATATGGCTAGCCAGTTTTCCCAACATTATTTATTAAATAGGGAATCCTTTCCCCATTGCTTGTTTTTGTCAGGTTTGTCAGAGATCAGATGGTTGTAGATGTGTGGCATTACTTCTGAGTCCTCTGTTCTGTTCGATTGGCCTATATCTCTGTTTTGGTACCAATACCATGTTGTTTTGGTTACTGTAAGCTTGTAGTATAGTTTGAAGTCAGGTAGCATGATGCCTTCAGTTTTGTTCTTTTTGCTTAGGATTGTCTTGGCTATATGGGCTCCTTTTTGGTTCCAATGAAATTTAACGTAGTTTTTTCTAATTTTGTGAAGAAAGTCAATGGTAGCTTGATGGAGATAGCATTGAATCTATAAATTACTTTGGGCAGTATGGCCATTTTCATGATATTGATTCTTACCATCCGTGAGCATGGAATGTTTTTCCATTTGTTTGTGTCCACTCTTATTTCCTGGAGCAGTGGTTTGTAGTTCTCCTTGAGGAGATCCTTCACATCCCTTGTAAGTTGTATTCCTAGTTATTTTATTCTCTTTGTAGCAATTGTGAATGGGAATTCACTTATGGTTTGGCTCTCTATTATTGTTATATCGGAATGCTTGTGATTTTTGTACATTGATTTTGTATCCTGAGACTTTGCTGACATTACTTCTCAGCTTAAGGAGATTTTGGGTTGAGACCATGGAGTTTTCTAAATATGCAATTATGTCATCTGCAAACAGAGACAATTTGACTTCCTCTCTTCCTATTTGAATACCCTTTATTTCTTTCTTTTGCATGATTGTCCTGGACAGAACTTCCAGTACTATGTTGAATAGGAGTGGTGAGAGAGGGCATCCTTGTCTTGTGCTGGTTTTCAAAGGGAATGCTTCTAGCTTTTGCCCATTCAGTATGATATTGGCTGTGGGTTTGTCATAAATTGCTCTTATTTTTTTGAGATACTTTCCATTATTACCTAGTTTATTGAGAGTTTTTAGCATGAAGGGGTGTTGAATTTTATCGAAGGCCTTTTCTGCATCTGTTGAGATAATCATGTGGTTTTTGTCATTGGTTCTGTTTATGTGATAGATTACGTTTATTGATTTGGGTATGTTGAACCAGCCTTGCATCTCAGGGATGAAGCCCACTTGATCATGGTGGATAAGCTTTTTGATGTGCTACTGGATTTGGTTTGCCTGTATTTTATTGGGGATTTTTGCATTGATGTTCTTCAGGGATATTGGCCTAAAATTTCCTTTTTTGATGTGTCTCTGCCAGGTTTTGGTATCAGGATGATGCTGGCCTCATAAAACAAGTTAGGCAGGAGTCCGTCTTTTTCTATTGTTTGGAATAGTTTCAGAAGGAATGGTACTAGCTCCTCTTTGTACCTCTGGTAGAATTCGGCTGTGAATACATCTGGTTCTGGGCTTTTTTTGGTTGTTAGGCTATTACTGCCTCAATTTTAGAACTTGTTATTGGTGTATTCTGGGATTTGACTTCTTCCTGGTTTAGTCTTGGGAGGGTGTACATTTCCAGGAGTTTAACAATTTCTTCTAGATTTTCTAGTTTATTTGCATAGAGGTGTTTATAATATTCTCTGATGGTAGTTTGTATTTCTGCGGGATCAGTGGTGATCTCCCCTTTATCATTTTTTGTTTTGTCTATTTGATTCTTCACTCTTTTCTTCTTTATTAGTCTGGCTAGCGGTCTATTTTGTTAATCTTTTCAAAAAACCAGCTCCTGGATTCTTTGATTTTTTGAAGGGTTTTTTGTGTCTCTATCTCCTTCAGTCCTGCTGTGATCTTAGTTATTTCTTGTCTCCTGCTAGCTTTTGAATGTGTTTGCTCTTGCTTCTCTAGTTCTTTTAATTGTGATTTTAGGGTGCTGATTTTAGATCTTTCCCACTTTCTCCTGTGGGCATTTAGTTCTATAAATTTCCCTGTAAACACTAGTTTAGCTGTGTCCCAGAGATTCTGGTACATTGTATTTTCATTCTCATTGGTTTTAAAGAACTTATTTATTTCTGCCTTAATATCGTTATTTACCCAGTTGTCATTCAGGAGCAGGTTGTTCAATTTCCATGTAGTTGTGCAGTTTTCAGACAGTTTCTTAATCCTGAGTTCTAATTTGATTGAACTGCGGTCTAAGAGATTGTTTGTTAGGATTTCTGTTCTCTTGCATTTGCTGAGAAGTGTTTTGCTTCCAATTATGTGGTCAATTTTAGAATAAATGCTAATAAGTATGTATATTCTGTTGATTTGGGGTGGAGAGTTCTGTAGATGTCTATTAGGTTTGGTTGGTCCAGAGCTGAGTTCAACTCCTGAATATCCTTGTTAATTTTCTGTCCTGTTGATCTGTCTAATATAGATAGTGGGGTGTTAAAGTCTCCCACTATTATTGTGTGGGAGTCTAAGTCTCTTTGTAGGTCTCTAAGAACTTACTTTATGAATCTGGGTGCTCCTGTATTGGGTGCATATATATTTAGGATAGTTAGCTCTTCTTGTTGCATTGCTCCCCTTACCATTATGTAATGGCCTTCTTTGTCTCTTTTGAACTTTGCTGGTTTAAAGTCTGTTTTTATCAGAGGCTAGGATTGCAATCCCTGCTTTTTTTTGCTTTCCATTTGCTTGGTAGATCTTCCTCCATCCCTTTATTTTGGGCCTATGTGTGTCTCTGCATGTGAGATGGGTCTTCTGGATACAGCACACTGATGGGTCTTGACTCTTTATCCAATTTGGCAGCCTGTGTCTTTTAATTGGGGCATTTAGCCCATTTACATTTAAGGTTAATATTGTTATGTGTAAATTTGATCCTGTCATTGTGATGCTAGCTGGTAATTTTGCCCATTAGTTGATGCAGTTTCTTCATAGTTTCAATGGTCTTTACAATTTAGTATGTTTTTTGCAGTGGCTGCTACCAGTTTTTCCTTTCCATGTTTAGTGCTTTCTTCAGGAGCTTTTGTAAGGCAGGCCTAGTGGTGACAAAATCCTTCAGCATTTGCTTGTCTGTAAAGGAGTTTATTTCTCCTTTGCTTATGAAGCTTAGTTTGGCTGGATATGAAATTCTGGGTTGAAAATTCTTTTCTTTAAGAATGTTGAATATTGGCCCCCACTCTCTTCTGGCTTGTAGGGTTTCTGCAGAGAGATCCATTGTTAGTCTGATGGGCTTCCCTTTGTGCATAACCCGACCTTTCTCTCTGGCTGCCGTTAACATTTTTTCCTTCATTTCAACCTTGGTGAATCTGACAATTATGTGTCTTGGGGTTGCTTGTCTCGAGGAGTATCTCTGTGGTGTTCTCTGTATTTCCTGAATTTGACTCTTGGCCTGTCTTGCTAGGTCTGGGAAGTTCTCCTGGATAATATCCTGAAGAGTATTTTCCACCTTGGTTCCATTCTCCCCATCACTTTCAGGTATATGAATCAAATGTAGGTTTAGTCTTTTCACATAGTTCCATATTTCTTGAAGGCTTTGTTCATTCCTTTTCATTCTTTTTTCTCTAATCTTGTCTTCATGCCTTATTTCATTAAGTTGATCTTCAATCTCTGATATCCTTTCTTCCGCTTGATTGATTCGGTTATTGATACTTGTGCATGCTTCATTAAGTTCTCATGCTGTGTTTTTCAGCTCCACCAGGTCATTTATTTTCTTCTCTAAACTGGTTATTCTGGTTAGCAATTCCTCTAACCTTTTTTCAAGGTTATTAGCTTCCTTGCATTGGGTTAGAACATGCTCCTTTAGCTTGGAGGAGTTGGTTATTACCCACCTTCTGAAGCCTACTTCTGTCAATTCATCAAACTCATTCTTTGTCCAGTTTTGTCACCTTGCTGATGAGGAGTTGTGATCCTCTGGAGAAGAGGCATTCTGGTTTTTGAAAATTTTAGCCTATTTGCACTGGTTTTTCCTAATCTTCGTGGATTTATCTACCTTTGGTCTTTGATGTTGTTGACCTTTGGATGGAGTTTCTGTGTGGATGTTCTTTTTGTTGCTGTTGATGCTATTCCTTTCTGTTTGTTAGTTTTCCTTCTAATAGTCAGTCCCTTCTGCTGCAGGTCTGCTGGAGTTTGCTGGAGGTCCACTCCAGACCCTGTTTTCCTGAGTATCACCAGCAGAGGCTGCAAAACAGCAAAGAATGCTGCCTGTTCCTTCCTCTGGAAGCTTCATCCCAGAGGGGAACACACCAGATGCCAGCCAGAGTGCTCCTGTATGAGGTGTCTGTTGATCACTGCTGGGAGGTGTCTCCCAGTCAGGAGGCATGGGGGTCAGGGACCAACTTGAGGAGGCAGTCTGTCTCTTAGCAGAGCTTGATTGCTGTGCTGGGAGATCTGCTGCTCTCTTCAAAGCTGGTAGGCAGGAATGCTTAAGTCTGCTGAAGCTACACCCACAGCCGCCCCTTCCCCCAGGTGCTCTGTCCCAGGGAGATGGGAGTTTTATCTATAAGCCCCTGACTGGGGCTGCTCCTTTCTTTCAGAGATGCCCTGCCCAGAGAGGAGGACTCTAGAAAGGCAGTCTGGCTACAGTGGCTTTGCCGAGCTGTGGTGGGCTCCACCAAGTTTGAACTTCCCAGGGGCTTTGTTTACACTGTGAGGGGAAAACTTCCTACTCAAGCCTCAGTAATGGCGGACTCCCCTCCCCCTACCAAGCTCAAGCATCCCAGGTCAACTTCGGACTGTGTGCTGGCAGCGAGAATTTCAAGCTAGTGGATCTCAGCTTGCTGGGCTTTATGGGAGTGAGATCTGCTGAGCTAGACCACTTGGTGCCCTGGCTTCAGCCCCCTTTCCATGGGAGCGAACAATTGTTTCTCACTGGCATTCCAGGTGCTACTGGGGTATGAAAAACTCCTCCAGCTAGCTCGGTGTCTGCCCAAATGGCCACCCAGTTTTGTGCTTGAAACCCAGGACCCTGGTGGTGTAGGCTTCTGAGGGAATCTCCTCATCTGCAGGTTGTGAAGACCATGGGAAATGGATAGTGTCTGGGCTGTATTGCACAGTTCCTAACAGCACATTCCCTCATGGCTTCCCTTGGCTAGGGGAGGGAGTTCCCTGACCCCTTGCCCTTCATGAGTGAGGTGATGCCCCATCCTGCTTCAGCTCACCCTCTGTGGGCTGCACCCACTGTCTAGGCAGTCCCAATGAGATGAGCTGGGTACCTCAGTTGCAAATGCAGAAATCACCTGCCCTCTGTGTTGATCTCGCTGGGAACTGCAAATGGTAGCTGTTCCTATTCAGCCGTCTTGCCAGCCACCGTGGGGTCATACTTTTCAAGCCAAGTCAAATAGTCAGCTTCTGGAAGCCTAGACTCTACTTTTCCAAGAGGAAGAACTTGCTTGTCTTAAAGTGGCCTTGTTTGCAAGCTACCTACTTACACCACAACTCGGAGTGTCTCAGGAAGCTGGGGTATTGCTTAGCAGAAAACCCCCACATGCTGCCATTTTTTGGTAGTACTGTTGATTATTTCAAGAGCAATACAGTGATAGTGCTGGATTTTGAGCAAGACTATAATTATCCAATGTCCCTTCTGTTAGGGAGATTATGTGACAATCCTATGGCTTGTGGAATGTGCATCTTGGGGTTTTTGTCTTAGCCACTAATTGGCCTCACTTTTCCCTTTTGTTCTCTGTAACAACATTAGGCTTCTGCAGCACTGCTGGCCAGTTATTGGTGATACATCTGTGGCCACAGAATGGGGAGGCTGCCTGGGGTCTTAATCTGTGACTCTGTTCGCTTTAGGCTCACGTTAAGGCCATTAGAGTTACATAGAAATACACTAGAGTCCACTGCTACTGGAGCTCTTGCCCTAGAGTGAAAACTGGGGCCACGAGGATACAGCCCCACTGACAAGCTGGCTGGGGCCTGTCCTGTGAGTAATATATGAGAGCATCAAGCCGCAGGCTGGGTTTAAAGATGATCAGCAGCACCATGCTGAAGGAGAAGCCAGGAAGGAGAACTCAGGCATAGAAGCCAAGTGGAAGAGGAGAGTGCTGTGGTTAGTTAAGCTAATAAAATGGAATAAACAGAGAAGATACATTTTGTAGAAGCCAAAGTCTAGGGAGATCAGAACTCTTGAGGGTCAAGGCAAGGGATGGGCACTAGGCCCCAGAAGGCACAGTTCTGAGACAGAGTCAGGTGGCATGAGTGTCAGCTAGGGTGGCAGTGGTAGTCGGTACTGGGCCAAGTGGGGAGGGGTGCTAAGAGAAGGTTGTTGAAAATGCACACATCTGGTTCTCCCAGTCCTAAGGCTTATCTGTCTTACAATAGTGGTCTGAGACTGGCCACTGTGAAAATGTGGTACCTGGACCTGATCAGCAAAGGCTTGACACTTGGAATTTCTCGAAAGGGATTGTTGGAACCCATTTCCATTACCAGAAAACTGTTTTCTAATCTACTTGGTGCAAGGTGTGGTCCAATCTCTATACGCCTTTTCTTTTCCATTGTTTAAAATGGAGACATTTCCTAGTTTGTAGCCTGGAAGAGATGTTATGAGTCCAAATGAGATTATGTAGTTCTTGGAATTCCACTGAGGAAATAGCTATGTAAATTCAATGTGTTGTTATTCATGACATGTATGGTTGAGCTGAAGACTCTAGCTACTACCCATCCATGCAAGCCATAAAATTAGACTTCCTATACTGTGCACAGTAATTCTCTTTCTTACAATAGAAACCACAAACCAATTTTGCCTTACAGAAATGTGCTCTCATCCAAAATTTTTAATGCACATTTTAAAAACCAGCTCAGTTTTACTGTGGAGTCACATCTGAGGAAAGTGACATAGTCAGGGAAATGTCTGTCTTACATACAGGAGGAACATACATATTTTATAAGCTTACCAGGAGCTGATTATGAAGATCACCCATCAAAATGATCTAACAACTTTCATTTTCACATCACTAGTTCAATTAAGAAATAATTTCCAATAATATGACTCCAAATATATTTTCATTTCTGGATATATATGCATCCATGCTGTGGGCTTTATTTGATTTTTTTTATTACTCTTTAATTCTTTAACAGTTGCATTTTTTTTCTTTGCAAGTGCATAGTGGGTAATTTATGTTGTTTTGATAGTTTGTTTCTTTGATATAATTTGCAATTCTGCACCCAGAGTTGTAATATACAGTATATTACAAGGCAGAGTTGTAATATACTACAGCTTATCTAAACTACAGTTCAGATAAATGACATGGAAATATAGAGGTTATCATGTAAAATGATCCATATTTCAAAATAGGGACTTCTGTAAAATGAAAAAAAAATATTGCTATTAATCACACTTTTTATATGACTTTTTTCCTTGACTGAGATTTGTTGCATTTACTATTGTAACATATTTCCAAAACACATTAGTTAAACGTGGCTGAAAATCACGCATGCATATTTTAAGGAAAAAATGTGCAGATATATTTTCAATCTTAAGCTACAAACTATGGCTTTTCTTTGATGATTAAAATATTCTGGCCCATTTAAAATGAGCTACATAATAAAAGTGATGTGCAATAATAATTTTACAATGCTTAATAATATAAAGTACTTTATCTGAAAGACGCCTTTTAAAATATTTTATGCATAATTCAAGCACTTTTGTTCTCTTCTGTAAAGAAAATAAGTGAGTGATATGCAAGTGAAATAAGAAATTGAAAAGAATTTAAAAAATAAAAACTGGACAGATTTCTGCCTGTGCTCAAATTAAGAAGTAGTAACATGTTAAAATGTTTTATGCTATTGGCAACTGGGGGAAGTAGGGCAGAGTGACACAATAGAAAACATTAGGCCCAAACTTTCTCTAATATAGGTTTTCTGGCTTTAAAAAAAGGGGTACAAAGGGTCATTGAAGTTTGTTGAATATGCTTCTTATTGTCAATTCATATCACTAAAGAAAGTTTGCCCTTGCTCACACAAGAGAGGAGCTTTCAGATCTTCAACCAGATACCTGCCAGGAGTATCTTTAACATGCAAACTAGCCCAGGGAGTTTGCCTGCCTACCAGTCACCATCAAAGCACAAGCACCTGAAGAAAGAGTGAACACGTCCTCCTAGTGCTGCCCCTGAGCTGTCCCTAAAGAAGACGCAGGAAAACCAGGCTAGGGAATTGTAATGTGTTTATTAATGAAGGCTGGGCTATTGTTCACTTAGAATCATCCAAAAGTTTAAAATAATTTTGAAAGGGGCTTACGGTATAAAAAGAGGTGTGGAAAATCAGCCCCAGTAGGAACCAATTAATTACTAATCCACAGAGGAAACCATGCTCCACATTTTTTTTTTTAAATCTGAAGACATGGTAAACTATGGGTAGATTTTTAAAAATTACATATGAACCGATGACTAGATTGTGAAATGTAATAAAGTGCCAGAATACCCAGTTGCTTTGGAACAGAATTCTGTGTGTTGTTTGTAGGTTTTGTCTACCTAACAACACAATTTTGTTTGGGTGAATTTTTGTTTGTACTTGATAAAGGTTTTGGTTGTATTGTCTGGCTCATTTGAGTTGGGCAGCCTGATCTTTTGTTCTGACTTAACCTCCCATGAACACATTTCTAAAAGGATGGTTTTACTATTTATAAATTTGGTGCTGCTCAGAGGTCATTTAGAAATTAATGTAATTAAAAAGGCATAAATAAAACAGGAACCTGTTGACCTGACCTAGATACAATCTTACCAGAAGGCAGGGTTGTTGTGTGGTTTGTTTTTGTTTTTGTGGGGTTTTTTTTTGGTGGGAGGTATTTACTTCATTATAGCCTTAGAAAATTCAGACAGAGATTTGTGAACAGTGTCCTGAAACATTGTTTGTAAGAAAAGTTGGCTTCTATGGTCTCACTCTATTCTAAAATCTTTCATGATAAGCATGTCCTAATAGGTCAAGGTAAAGCTTTGCTGCCCTGGTAGTGGGTGGGAAAGACACAGAGAAAAAGAGTGCATAGATATGCTTCCATTTCCCTCTATGCTTTCTTGCCTTCTGGATTTGGCCTTCTCCTTGATCTCCAACATCTTTGTGTTGAAGGGCCTACAGAGTAAACTGTGGGACTCAATAAACATTCGTTACTTGATTTATTTTAGAGAAAATTTGAATATAGCCTAAATAGACACAAGATTTTGTTTTGTTGGGGCAATATTTACAGCGTGTCCCACATAACGTAAAGAGTAAAATGTATTTTAATGTAGGTTGTCTTTGGTTCATCCTTCTATAAATTAAAACTAGACATTTCTGTTGAGAATCACTTTGTTCCCTCTACTCTTTGTGTGTGACATTCACTTGTGAAATGACAAGACTTTCTAAAATCCTTAGCCAAGTTTAAATCAACTCAGAAAAATCACTTGTTTAATACTGTCTTTTTTTTTTTTTTTTTTTTGCCATCCGCTGTCATTTATTCTGGTTTTATTTTTTCACCCAGAGCAACTCCTTAGAAGAGCGTTACATGGGTAGAAATAATTGTTGGTTGATTGATTATGACTGGAGAGTATGTGTTCTGAAGTTGGAGGTTAAATAAAGCCAACACCACAGGTCTACATAGAATATATGTGTGGTTGATTTGATAGAGAAAAAACCCAATTCACTACAGAGAGGGCCAGGTGAGATGCCTTGAGGGCCTTGGACAACACTTTTGATTTCTAATCTACACAGATTACTTTGGAACTGACTATAAACTAGTTAAATGATTGGCTGGTGACAAAAAAAAAAGATGAAGAAAGTAATGAATGCATACTAAATGGCGCAGAAGATTTAGAGGGATTTGTATTAGCTTTGTAACAAGACTGACATATGGGAAATAAAATTTATTGTTACTAAACATTGAACATTACTCTTGAGCACTAAAATAATGAACACAGTAAAAATAAATAGCATTGAACTAACTAGAGCAGTAAGACTTTCAAAAGAACCCTCCAGAGAGAGGAAGGAAGGGTTTTTCTTTCACATTGTGTAGATAATATAAAGCCACACATCACCTATGCAATAGCATTAGGCTAATTATTCCCAGAGAGCTGGTCAGAGTGTCTAGTTATGCCCAACTGATTGACTCTTTCCTCTTAAATTCCTAAGGAAGCATCAATATTTCTTAAAATATACATGTCAAGATTTCAAATCCCCAAGCTTTTAAAAACATAGCAAAAAATCATAATACAGCTTGGATTAGAAAATGATTAGAAAGGTTTCAACTTAGCATCTGTGTTGAGTGTTGAATAAACCCATTAGACCTTGAGATATTGCCTTGGAAAACCTAAATGACAACAAAAAGTATTCATTTAGGGAGTAGCCTTCCTGAGAAGAGTTAGAAACTCTTATCACTAGAGACATTCAAAATGGCCATAAAATGTGTCAAGGAAATTATTTTCTCTCTGATGTTATTCTGAGCATGCATAATGAAAAAATTCTTTTTATCAGTGTGTTTTTTACTAGCATACATAATGAAAAAAATTGTTTCATCAGTGTGTTTTTTACTCTCAGTTTACCATTAAGTGCATTACAAATCAGTTTTGAATTTCACAGTAAACACAGTCATGTTTTTCAGGGTCTCCTCAATAGGTCCATATAGTCATAGATTAATTGCTTAGGACAGTATCAGGTTTGTCACTTACCCAGGTACTGAGTTTCAAACTGTACCTCTCTTTAGGAATAAGATTAGTTTTTGTTGTTGTTGTTGTTGTTTTTTCTCTCTACTAACTGCATTTGTCCCTCTTCATCAAAGCACACGCTGAATAGCCATGCTTTTGCATCTTACTGATGCACAGAGGTTGATCAGTTGGATTGAAAGACAGAGCTCGAAAGGTGTTGTAATGCCTTGTTGGCAGCACCAGATCAAGGTGGTATGCTGTGGAGGGGATTCTAGCTTTAGCTCTGCCACTAAAAAGCAGCTGGACTTTAGGTCAGTTGATTGGCATCCATAGATCTTGGTTTCTTCATTCGCAAATGAAAAAAAAAAGTTTTTGCCCCTGTTCCAGGATGCTCTCAAAACTCTTTTTTATCCATCCAACCACCAGGCTTTATTCCATCCAAGGGAGAACAGTATAAACGAACAGAGCTGCTTCTGGAGGTCTCATCTAATGAGGGGCTGAAAAACTCTTAAGGGGCCAGAGAGTAAATATTTCAGATTTTGTGAGGCAAAATTGAGTGAATTATGTAGGTATTTATGTAACATTTAAAAATGTAACCATTAGAAAATGTAAAACCCATTCTTGTGGGTGGTATAAAAACAAGTGGTAGGTTAGATTTGGCCTTGCTGTCGTTGTCCAACCCTGCTCTGGAGGAATAATATAATATACACAGATAATCACACCCCAATGTGCAGGATAGAAGTAAGAGGCAAAAAAATTCATCTGAACGATTTCCTTCCTTGACCAGACACTTTAGTTAAGACAGCCTTTCTTGGTCGTGCAAGAGCCCTTTACTTCCCTGGGGGCCATGGAGATCCCTCCTGCCCATTCTTTTCATCTCTCTTCTTATCTTTCTTTCTTTTTGTTTTCTTTGACCTCAAACTACCATTCCCATTTACTTCAAGAGCTTTTTTATTGAGACAAGATGAGGAGGCCTGGGGGAAGGGTGGAAGGGAAGGAGGAGGCCAGCAAGAATTTTAATTTCCCGTGCACCAACATAATTACAGAGCAGATACAATTGCCTCCAAATCTTTTGTGCTGCTTTATATGCATTCATTATTTTCCTCATCTTTTTGTCACCAGTCAGCCATTTAACTAGTTTACAGTCAGTTCCAGGGAAATTTATGTAGACTAGAAATCATCGACCTTAACTGAAGCCCTGAAGACATCTTACGTGTTAGCACATCGATAGATATTGTATTTTAATAAATTCAGTTTCTCTATCAGAAACTTTGTGTCAGCTGCAAGCCTCTCTTATCACAGAGGCATCTGAACTGCCCTAAGTATGAAATATGGACAATCAGAAAGCCTCATCTCAGATTGTTCTGGAGGTTTACTCCAGAGAGAGTCCATCATTTTGGAAATTCATTTAAATAGGTAGAAGGAAAATATCAAGAGCCTAAAAAATGCATGTAATGCCATTGCATTTTCCTTTTCTATGATTAATTTAAGTTCCCCTGGGAAATGTTACCCTTTGAAGTTGTAGATGAATTAGAATTTTTCTCTCAGAATTATTAACACATACCATTTCTGACAAGTAGTGTGTTTCCTTTAACAATCTTTGATTTTTCTCACATTTAAATGCGGTTAATATTGAATAAATGGCCTGTTGTCTTTCTTAGTATTTATTGTTAATGTGACTTGAACACTTGCAGAATTTCCTTTTTGAAATGTTTAAAGATATGTACATGTTCCAAGATAAGATTTTATCTAAAACATTCTGACCAGTATTGAGTATGTATCAAAAATGATGTGCTTCTTAATTTGAAGTCCAGTAAAGACAAAATGAAAAGTGGTGGGATAAGGCTGGTAAATTGCAGCTTAAGCCCAAACAATGACTATTATGGAATATAAACATGTATAAGCTTGTCTGTCAAACTGGTGGAGCACTGCTGCAACGAAGCCTTTTTTGATCACTACAGGTACTGGATGAGCACTCATTCAGAGAGAAGGAGACAGGCTTGAAAAGCTTCATCCATTATCAAAACCATAGTCACAGCCAGTGTATGTGTGGATGACACAGGGGACAGATGCCCACCACTTAGCCTTATACCTGGCCAGTCCCCGATGGACTCAAATCTGGGCTGTAGAAGAGAGAAGACCTTGACTAGATTTTCTGTGTATGGAAGGTGATACGGCGGAATCAGAATCTGTGGCGGACACTGTTAGTTGCCCTCCTAACCCCAATAGCGATTTCCCCTCCTTTTTGTAAACACAATCTTGTTTTCTTTGAGGGGGAGGGGGTAGCCTTATGCCCCACTATGAGGGCTAAAATCATGATTGGTTTAAGTCATTAATGGCAATTTCATTACTTTGACAGTCTCCCTTTCCCAGGGGTCCCAGAGCTATGATGACCATGTGACCTAGTTCTACTCAATGCTGTGCAAGGAGAAGGCTGCAGCTGGGCTTCTGGGAGAAACTCTCTTACCATTTTGCCCACCTGATATTGTGTGAAGATGTGCAGCTTGTATCTGTGGCAGTCATCTTGTGATCAAGAGATGGCATGTCCAAGAATGAAAAGCTCACAGTTGAGAATGGCATGGTTGAGGCAGAAAGAAATTAGATGATGGATGGTGCTGTGGAGCTGCTGCACCAAACTTGGAGCTCCACATCTTCAGAATTCTTATATCACGAGATCAGTAAATGCTTTTATTGCTTAAGCCACTGTGAGCTGGGTTTTCTCTTCTTTCAGCTGCTTGAAATCAAATGAGTGTAACATCAAAATGGATTAATGCATTTGTTTAATTCACCACAAAGCTTGGAGGACTTTCAGTAATTCGAGGGCCTCAGCCGAAGAGGTAGCAGAATTCAGGAAGAGTGAGCGTGTTAAGCCAGAGCATGAGTACCCAAAATAAGCAGTGGAAGTGCCAGTGGAGGCAGTGGTGCCCAGAGGCTATGGCAATAATGTCTGGCAATCCTGGCAGAAGAGGCAGATGTGCCAGACTGAAGTAACGTGAGTGGGGAAGCCCAGCAGATGTAGCGGTCCCTGGTTGACACTGGGGTGCCTCATGTTGCAGAAATAGAAATAAAGAAACTATGGCACAGAGTAGCTTTCTGGATAGCTGATTTTACTTGTTTGTAGGCATATTTGAGGCATCATTTTGTATGTTAAAGAGGATAATCTGCTGCCCAGAATGTTTACAGGCTCAAACACAACAGGAGTTTGTGTTCTGCTCATATAACAGTGTGGTGGCCAGTGGATGGTTTTCTCTCTTTCTGGTGAATCAGGGGCTTTGGAGACTTCCATTTGGAGATTCTGAAGTTCCTTGGCACCTGGTTGTCATGGCATTCAGCTGGTAGAAGAAAAAAGAGCATGGGGGAGATATGCCTGCTTCTTAAAAACCTCAGTCTAGAAGTGGCACAAATTACCCCCCTTCTACTTCACAGTGGAAAGGAGTTATATGTTTCTACCTAACTGCAAATGGAGTGGGCAATGGGTTTCCCTGGCTAGGCAGCTGCTCCAGGTTATATCTTGAAATAGGAGAATGAAATATGATAGGCAATCTCTGCCAGCCAGGTACTCTTGGAAATATGATACTTGTTTTGCGGTGGGATTGGGGTGGGGCAGATACTTTGCAGAATCTTAGGGTTCTGAGCTAGTTGGTGGGGTAAGCTGGTGACACAGAGGTAACAAGGCCAGTGATTTACCCATGGATCTTCTAAGTGTTGCCAATTAGAGTAGTTTAGGCAGTAGGGGGCATTTCCCCCCCATTCCTTGGAATTATTTGCTTGACTATATCAAATTACTGAATAATTGAAAAACCCTCTCTTTTGTCTAACTACAGTCATGTGTTGCTTAACGACAAGGATACATTCTGAGAAAAGTGTTCAATAAGTGATTTTGTAATTGTGTGAACATCAGAGTGTGCTTACAGAAACCTAGATGGTGTAGCCTACTACACGCCTATGCTATAACCTATTGTTCCTAGGTTACAAACCTGTACAGCATATTACTGTACTCAATACTGTAGGCAATTATAACATGATATATTTGCATATCTAAACATATTTAAACATAGAAATGGTACAGTAAAATCATGGTATGATCTTAGGGGACCACAGTCATACGTGCAGTCTATCACTGACCAAAACATTGTTATGCAGGGCACGACTATATTTAGATCTGGTATGGCCATAGTACTGAATTTCATTTATGATTTAACATAAACCAAATACCGACAGTCTAAACTCTAATATATACACCTGCCAGTCCTTTTATTATTGGAAGCAAAGCACTTAAAAGCATGTGCTAGTTTTTTCTTTTTGAAAGTATTTCTGATGACTGCATGGCCTACGACTACTAAGAAATAGAATTTCAAAATGAGCATCAGACTTATTTTTCAAGTGCCTTGTCATAAATGCATTGCTACTCATGTAATAAAGTAATTTTCCCTTGTGAGATAAATATAGCACTAAAGAAGAATGAGCCTTGTCTGATAAAATGGCTTTTATTAATCTTCTAATGTTTTTATTTTGTTCTAGAATTATGATTAGTTTCAAGAGAGTAGCAAACAGGTTATGATCAGAGTTGAGTATTATTGCTATCCAGATATATTTGGTTAATGCCTGCTGTTTATTTCAAAAACAAAATGTTCCATTAAGAAAAATCAATGATAATGGTTAGACTTTATTATCAAGAAATTATACCTGTTATGTAAACCTTGCTAATTATAAGTGCTTGGATTCATTTGGGTGATATAACAGATGAAAAAGGCCATTTATTAGGAGAAGTACTTGGCATTTGTACCAGCATAATAAAACTAAAATAATAAAACACAACCCAAGGAAAGAAAAAAATGTTATTGAGGAATGGAATTTGCCCAGGAATGAATTATACCAGGAGACAGTATGGAGTGTGGGATTAACACTGAGTGCTTCATCCTGGATATCAATTTCCTATGACACCTCAAACAGCCTGTCCTTGTCTTCTCCTCCTTCCACTTTACTTCTTACTTTTTCCGGCTGAGCTCATGCATGTACATGCTTCAGCTTCTATTAATTCCTAAGTATTTGTAACTTCAGTGCTGACCTCTTGCCCATGGTTCAGTCTGCCCTCTGGCCATCTCTGCCTGGATGTCTCCTAGGAACCTGAACTCTACGTGTTCAAATAGAGTTTATCTCTCATGCTCTTCTTGAATATCATAGTGACAGCCCTCACTCCTCCCTCCCTCACACCCATATCCAATCAGCCATACCTTTTTGTTTCCAGCCAGAAATTTCTCTCTCATATCTAGATTCTACATTTGCTCCCACTCCCACCGCCTTAGTCTGGGCCATCATCACCTTTTGTTTTAATGACTATAACCTATACATCTAACCAGCAGGCTCATAAGATGTAGTCACTAAAGCAATTTTATTTTTTGTCTTCTGTAGTCCTTTATTTTAAAATTGTTCTCTCAACTTTTAATTTTCAAATATTTCAAATCGGCAGAAAAGTTGAAATAACAAAACAATAAACACATATATAAATCTCACCTTCTAGATTGATCAGTTGCTAACACTTTGCGAGCTTTCTTTCTCTGTGTGAATCTCTCGCTCTCTCTCCCTGTCCCCACTCCTCTGTCACTCTCTCCTGTAATCCATTTTCCACATCTCTGCACAGAACCCAACCCTGCTTTGGCTCCTTAAAGATGGTGGCTTGGGAATGGTGTGGACACTGGCCTTCCCATATGTTTCTAAAGGTCTAACTCCAATAGTAAAAGGTGTTCCGTTTCAGACAGAAGCAGAGGGAGACAGCAGAAGAAAAGGGTTACTATAATGAGAAATGTAATGAACCTTGGCAAGCCATGTGCTTGTATGTCTGTGTGTCAGCGTTTGCAAGGAGTCCATTTTCTTAGATGCAGGTTGGCCACATGAGGGCTCAGGGTGGGGATAGAATGTTGTGTGAGACTGTGGACCTCAGAGAAATGTCCTCATGGATGATACTGGCAGATATGGCTGGGCCCAGATACCTCCTTGAAGTGGCTGGCTCTTTGTTAGTGGACATTGAAAGCAGAAGGTGTGAACAAACTTGTTTCTGAACTCAACACTTGGAGATTCTCAGAATGGGTAAGACTTTAAGGCTGAGGAGGTGACGGTGGCTACAAAAACCTTATGAATGCAAGTAGAGGACATAAAACAGCAAGATGTGAGCACTGTTGTTATGGTGGCCTCACAGGCTAGTGAAGCCTGAGGACATTTGGATTACATAGGGATAGGAAAAAAAGATATTGAAAGAAATACATATATTTCAATGAGAACACTTCCTTTACCCTATAGTTTTCCATGGCCCTAATTGTGTACAAGTTATTCATCATTCCACCCTTGCATTTTGATGGTATATATGTGATATAAACACATGTGACAATCTGTTTGGCCAGTAGATCTACAAAACCATTGAGGATTATTAGTGCTGATTTTATTTTAATAGAATAAAGTATTTTTTTGTCTGAATTAACTACTCTGCCTTTCAAGTCATTAAAGCAAAACTCAAATCCTTACTGTTTCAAAAATATTGCTAATTGGCTTATTTGTTAAAAAACATCTGTTTTTCATCAGAGGCAACTGAGGCAATATGTTGCAGATTGTATTTTCCAAAGATGATGACAATTGTCTCTCCTACCCCTTGTTCTCTTATAATGTGACTGTGACATTTCACTTATAAAATAGTGGAGCCAGTGTCCCTCCTCTTGAACGTGGGTGGATATTGTGATTGCACTGATCAATAGCGTGTGGTGGAAATGACTCTCTGTGACTTCCAAAGGTAGATCATGAAAATGCCATGCAGCTCTGCTTTGCTCTGTTGGCACATTTGTTCTTGGCATCTAACCACCATGCTATAAGAAAGCCCAGCTAGCTCACATGCAGAGGCCATATGGAAAGGCCATATACAGGTATTTCAGCTAACAGCCTAGCTGAGATCCCAGCTGACCACCAGCATCAACCACCAGACATGTGAGCAGGCCAGATGATTCCACTCCTCGGCTGTTGAGTAACCCTCAGTCTTTGAGTCTTCCTCCTTGAATACACAGCTATCAGAGGTCAAAGACAAGCCCTCCCTCTGTGCTCTGTTCAAATTTTTGACCCACAGAATCTGTGAGCATAATAAAATGGCTGTTCTATACCACTGAGTTTTAGGGTGTTTGCTATGCAGCAGTAGCAACTGGAACAGCATATAACAACTTTTTCTGGTTTGGTAACAACTCAGTGATTTTTGATCATCTAGAAATGTTTTATAAATGAATCTATTTGAAGACATTTTCTTTATCCTATATCATCAAGGTCCTAATTTGAGAAATATCTCTGTGAAGTCTTTTAATTCAAGCATGCCTGGGTAGTCAGAAGAGCCTGCCTGTCAGGTAATTTCTCTAGGAGTCTTTGTATGGAAGACCAACAAACCTTTTGAGAAAGAACTCAACCTGAGTAAAGAGACTCTCTGCTCAAGAAGTTGGTGCCAGGGTAATAGTCTAATGTTCCAGGGCTGGTCAACTTTGAGAATAGTCCAGTACCATCACTTGACTTGCCTTCCAGCCCAGCCACCATAGACCTATCCCTGAATCCCACAGAGAGAGGAATTACAGTGCAAGAAAGAGGAAAAGAAAAGAGTGCTTCAGTTGCTCTTCCTTGGGGCCTTGGGAATATAAGTCAATGGGTTCAGCAGCACTGGTATTGACTGCCTTGGCCACATAAGGACGCATCTGACCTAGGATGTTGGGCATTGGGTGCCCCATTGTTGATTTTGGTGGACTTGGCAGAAAACCAGAGGAGATGGGCAAATGGTGCTTGCTATGTGGAAGCTGGGAGGACCATATTCACCCATTTATTAATTCACTCTGTGGTGGGCAGTCTTCATTGTCCATGACTTATGTTTTTCTTTTCTGTAGTAACAAAATTGTAGTTGGCATGTGGCTGCCAAGATATCCTATGTTTTTAAGCTTCCCTTGTAGTTAGGTGTTGTCATGTGGAATGTGAGAAGTGATTTGTGCTTCTTGCAACGCTGGGACTTTATACACCCGATATGCATCTTCATGCTCTCTTTTTCCTCTCTACTGGCTGGAATTTATCAACTCAACCTTTGGGTCTCTGAATGACTCATATCATGGGTCTCTGAATGACTATGTGGAGCAAAGCCACCCACTGACATGGAATGCTCACCACTAATTTTTAGGTAAATAACAAGCTATCTTTTCTCAATCTTTGAATTATTGTTGAGTTTCTTTGTTTTATCATTTTACCCTTAACCTAAATATGCTTATCTATCCAACAAATATTTACTGAACTATATATCAGGTTCTGTGAAAGATGATGAGGATACAATGGCAAGCTTAAAATTCACCAGGGGAAGCAGACAAAATATAATTACAATTGTGATACATGCTAAATCCTCTAGAGGAGAGGTGCATGGTGAAATGAGTGTATATAGTCAGGAGAATTGATGCAGTCATGGGCATTAACAAAGTCCTCTGTGAAAAAAATAATAATTGATTGAAGTCTTCGGGAAGAGTGAGATTAATTTGTGGGTGGGAGGCAATAAGCAGAGATCCTTCTAGTCAGAAGGGATAGCATATCCAAAGGCCTTGGGGTAGCAGTTTGCATGGTCAGGCTGGTCTTGAACTCCTGATCTCGTGATCCGCCTGCCTTGGCCTCCCAAAGTGCTGGGATTACAGGCGTGAGCCACCACGCCGGGCCAGATCACATAGTCTTTGAGGTCTAGTTCAGTCTGCCGTCCTCTGCATTGGCAAGGGCCTACTGAACGCTTTCCATAGTGAGTGTAGGTCACCCTCTGGCTTGTTCCACACACAGATGTGAGTGTGGAGCGTGCAATCCTTATAATGAGAAGAATCCAGGAATACTATATTCCATTAATAACAAAGATTTGTGTAAAAATGGCAATTTGATCCCGACATAAAATGCTTGCCAGTTGTTTCTATTTCCCCTTTCCTGCCTTTTGTAGCCGTCCAGATCTTCTGACTGCATCATGGTGTGGATCTGTTTACGCTAGCAACTCTCCTGGCTTCTGAGGAGGCATTTCTATTTTAAAAAGAGGGGTTTGCTGAGGGCAGCTATCACAGCAGGAGAGTGACTGGAAATAATTGCTAGCTGTGGCAAGTGAAAGAAACTGAACTAGAGAAAGCGGAAAAGAGGATTTACTGGTTAATGGAACTGGAAGGGAGGGGCGATGTCAACATTAGGGACAACTGGAACCAGGGACTTGAACATTGTGAGGAATTCTCTTCCTGCTTGTCTTGGCTTCTTTGAGCATCAGCTTGTCTGCGCACATTGGCTTCTCATGTGGCTGGAGCCATGGTTGCTACAGCTCTAGCCTCCCACGTTTACAGTTCCAAGACTAGAGAGGAAAGGTACTCTCTCCTAAGCTCAAGTTTGAAAAAAACAGAGGAGAATCCTGATTGGCTGGATTGAGGGGGGGTCACGTGTTTATTCCTGGCCCAATCACAGTGACCAAAGTGTGAGACTTTATGATTGGTCCAACTGGATCAAGTGCCCACCTCTTGGCACATGTTGGAAACGCTCACCAGAACCACCTGGTTTGAAAAGGCATCTACCTAAAGATGCTGTTCTGGGCACTGTTTTAAAACATTTTTTTCCGTGAAGTTTTCCTTCCCTCTATTTCCTTATATTTATGTATTTGTAAAATGACATCAAAGACAGAGCCTTTCTTAGGTCCTAATCTCTCTACCGAGTGGTAGCGTCTGAATAACAAAGGGGAGTGGCCAATGTCTCTTTTAACAAGGAGGATGTGCTTATGGCAGGCGCCCCGGGAGCCCAGGGCAGGGCTCAGGCCGGGTAGCCCTGAGAAGCAGGGCCCATTGAATATGTGTGAAATGCAGAACACTCAGTAAATGGGCTGTAGTGGAAATCCCGCATCTGTGATACCGGAGGGGTTTGTGTATTTCTGGCTGCTGGTAGATAAGAACCAGAAATTTCTGTGTGCTGAAAACTAGAGCACAGAAAGATTGGTGCTTGTTATATGAGGTGAGAGATGGAAAGAGAGAGAAACTGCAAATCTTGTTTCTGAACCTGTGCTCACCACCTTCCTTTCTTTTTTGGCATGTCTCTCAACTCGGAAGTTTGCTTGGGGACTTCCCCAGCCAGTTCTGTGCTCCTCAAGGCGGGAAACCATGCTTGCCAATCTTTTGGACTCATTTTTAATCGGCTTGGAAATTTAATCAGAATAATGCCAGGTACATGCAATTGTAAAAAAAAAAATCTATTAATTAGCTACCCACAGTCTTGCCTTCTCCAGTTAAATTTAAATCCTGAGGAGAAAATGACATACAGCTCTGTTCTATACCTCCAGGTATGGAAACCACCGCCTGGGATTAAAGCATCAGTGAAGATGCTGCTTAGGAGGAATTCAGATTTTAGAGAAGAAAGGAGGTCATGAGAGCTCATTACTGGATCACTGAACTGGTAAGAATTATAAAGAGCTCGCCTTTTTCTTTTCTTGTATATGTGCACTACATTCATTTTTTTGGTGTGACAACAGTGTTTATAAAGGACCAAACATTCACTTTGCTAATGAAAGTTGACATTTCTAGTCATCCAATAAACAAGGATGCTTAATTTCAAGAGATGTGCATCAAGATGGTACCAATGGGTACACAGTGTAGACTCTCTGGGGAACTGAACACTCAGAATGGACACAGGTTTAATTTAGCTCAAAACACACTTAACATATGCAGTAGGACAGTTTGTCTGCAATGCCTAACTATTCTTTATGCCCTATGACTTTGGTTCATTTATCTCCCCAGAATTCGATCAGGAGTAGCCTCTTGCCATAGTGGTGGCAAGTCTGCTGCCAAGCGGCTAGCCTATTACTAGGAACCTTGCTAAAATAAAGATCTTGATTCAATAGTGCAGGGGTGAAATCTGAGACTCCGCATTTCTAACTAGTTTCCAGGTGATGCCAAGGCTGCTGGTCCCAGGGTCACACTTTGAGTAGCAAGGGACCAAGTTACAGAGACAGGGGGATTTAAGAGCCCAGACACCTTAATTGTGTAGCTGATGTGAATATCTGGGAGCTTCTGGTGCAGAGGATCCCAGACAAGCCCTAATTTGTCCTCTGAGTCCTGTTTTTCCCATTTTTATTTTCCCCCTGCACTTCCATGGATTCCACAAGAGATGTGTCCTTTGAACGGAGCCCCTTTTCTGAGCTAATTTGTGGGGATTCTACCCTATTCTTGCAGCCAGATGAGCCCTTGCTAGTTCAAGAAACAGATACATCAGTATTTAGAGGAGTCCACAGGTTAGGCGTGTATGAGGTACAAATAACCAGACTCTGCCTCCCCCTGACTATGGCCTGGCAGCTTTCTCTTTCTTCCTTACCTCTCCATCAGCTGAACACTTCAAGTCTGTGCCTTCAGGGCAAGACCTTCTTTTGACCTTGTTAATTTGCTCATTTCTCTAATCAACTCGTTTAGTTAAGAGATGTGGTTTCAAAATGGAAACACCTCCAATACTGCAAAGTGAAGAAAGCAGAACAGTTAGCTGTTTCATATAAAAACAATCTGAAAATACAGTAAATGAATCCACGGTTAAAATGCTAAACAGTAAATTTATTTGCAAAGTGAATCACACATCAGTTGTGCTTTTACTGTAGCCCAGAATAATTTCTAATTATAGCAACACTAAATAGAAAATAGCTTGTATTCTATTATTTAAAATATTCATGAAGTGGGGAGAGGACTAGAAAGAACTGAATGTATAAATGTGACTTTTGTGGGGCTGTTTTAATGCTTGGCCTTGTATGGCATCCACGCCCAGTTTGGCTCAGGTGACGAAAATGAAATGGACAAATATATTTGGTGACATAAATAACATTAAAGTTAATAGGTTTTACTCAGCACTTGGCATGTGAATGCAAAAGGAACCCAAATCCTCTGGGGTCACTCAAGATATACTGAGCACCCGCTTTTACGCAGGCAACCGTACTAAGTTTGGTGGGAGTTCAAAAGTGAGCAAAATGCTTCTTCTTTCCCTTTGGCTCTTATAGTCTGGGAAAAAATGACAAGCAATGTTTTTTTCTCCTCCCTCCATTTTCTATTAGCTGACAACTACATGGATCCTCTTTTCCTTATCTCTAGTGGTGAAGTTTTAGTGTCAGCATCAGGCCAAGGAGTGAGGCATTTTGAACAGACATTTTCAGTGTTCCTCAGATCCCATGATGCAGATGACAGTCCCCTCTTAAGGCCAGCCCCTTAGGAGTCCATCTTTTCAGTTTACTCCACCTTTCCTAATCAGAGCCATTCTTTGCTCAGATAACCACAGACACTTCTGGAGAAACAGCCCTTTCCCTACTCTTTCAACCCCTACAACCTCCCTGAGAAATTTCTGCCTTGGCCTCTGCAAAGGACCCACCTGACAAAGCGATATGAGGAGGCATATTGCAAAAAGGACACAGCCTGTGAACTGGGGGAGCCCTGCTACTCACCAGCCACTCTCCCAGCACAGCTTCCTCAAAACTTTTTTGTTTGAAAAGATGTTGCGTCATGGTGAATAAGAGCATCAATGTGCCGGGGCCAGGGGTGCCATAAACTAAATGGTGTCCCATCCCTAAATTCATATGTTGGAGCCCTAACCCTTCATGTGGGCTATACTGGAGAGAGGGCCTTGAAGAAAGTAATGAAGGTTAAATGGGGTCATAAGGCTGGAGCCTGACCTGGGAGAACGGGTGCTCTTAGAAGAAAAGGAAGAGATAGCAGAGTTCTCTCTCACCATGCGAGGGCACCGTGGGAAGGCAGACATCTGCAAGCCAGAAACAGAGCCCTCACCAGAACCCAGTCGTGCTGGCTGGCTGATCTTGGACTTTTAGCCTCCAGAACTGTGAGAAAATAAATTTCTGTTGTTTAAGCCAGCAGTCCCCAACTTTTTTGACACCAGGGACCAGTTTTGTGGAAGACAGAGTTTCCATGGACTCGTGGAGGGGGTGAGATGGTTTTGGGATGATTCATGCACATTACATTTACTGTGCACTTTATTTCTATTATTATTACATTGTAATACATAATGAAATAATTATACAGCTCACCATAATGTAGAATCAGTGGGAGCCCTGAGCTTGTTTTCCTGCAACTAGATGGTCCTATCTGGGGATGATGAGAGACAGTGACAGATCATCAGGCATTAGATTCTCATAAGTAATGCACAACCTAGATCCCTTGCATGCACAATTTACCATAGGGTTTGCACTCCTATGAGAATCTAATGCTGCTGCTGATCGGACAGGTGGCAGAGCTCAGCTGGTAATTCATGCAGTGGGGAGTGGCTGCAAATACAGATGAAGCTTAGCGTACTTGCGTGCAGCTCATTGTGTGACTCAGTTCCTAACAGGCCATGCAGGGACTGGTACCGGTTTGTGGCCCTGGGGGTGGGGGGACCCCTGGTTTAAGCCACCAGTCTGTGGTACTTTGTTAGGGCAGCAAGAAATGACTAATTAATACCAGGGAGACTTAGGGATGGGGAGGCAAGCCGAGGTGGGCAGAAGGAGAGAGAGAGGCAGCTGTGCATGCTGCAGGTTGGGAACTGAGATGGCTCCCAGTAGAGGTCAGCTTCAGTCATTTCTTCAAACAGTTTAAAATCCACGTCTGAGAACCGTTTCACTTCTTATGGAGGGGCAGCAAGAAAAGCTGCCTGCAACAAGATTTAATTGTGGGACTTCTGGTAAGACCATTATTTTGTTTTAAACTACAAAGAACATGCAGCTCTTATGATACAGATAGTGAAAGAGTCACATAAAAATAGGCATTTGGCCTCTGAACCACAGTCTTATGGCAGTTTAAGTTTGAATGCTGAAATTAATTTTTGACAGCCCCAATAAACTGCACATTGAGACCACACTTCCCAACGACTGATCTGATCATTAGAGTTTCTATTTCTCAGGAATTATTAGGAGGAAAACCAACTATATCCAAGCTACTGGGAGATGCACAACCACTGATAATTAGAAAGAATAAAATCGATGACTAAATGAATGTGCAGTTTACACACAAATGTAACCTTTTATTCTTTCCAATTAGGCTTTCTCCTGTAGGCTTGGCAGATGAGGCTGTGTTATAAATAGAAGTGGCATTTTGTAGGGTTCTTCAAACTGAAGTGTACATGAGGTCAAATTATAATCAAGGTAATATATATAAGTAATGAGCTGAGTCCACATTCCCAGGCATTTATACATTTAGTGGTAATAAATGAGCAAAGATGAAAAGAGAGCTTCCGGACAAATGCAGCAAAATAGTTACTTGTGTGGTTGGAGCACAGCAACTTATCTCTTTGTAATGAATGCTTGCCAGTGATAATTGACTTCATTTGTTAATTGTATTCATGATATTAATGAGATCATTAGCATAACAGTCACATCCTATTCTCCTGTGGTCAAAGTCTAGGGAATTACAAGTTTTGCACACCTTGTTGCTATACGTATACTTATGCATGCCAGTGATGTACAAATTCAAATGCCATCTGTGCTGACTTTTACAAGGACACCCTGAAATAATTCCTTGCCTGTTTTTAAGGGGGCTTTCTGAGAATTTGGGAGAGATCTTTTGTTCTCAGGATAATGAGTTTCATATTTATGAGAAAGATCCAAATTTAGCTCCTGTCATCTTTTTCTCCCCTGAATT